>NC_000006.12:103707153-103858668 GCF_000001405.40 Homo sapiens
TTGTCATAGGTCTGCAAACCTGCAACTTTAGAGAGGTAGTTAATTCTTTTCCCTTTTGATAGAACTTCCCTTGTGTTCTTCAATTGTCAAACTCTCTCACAAGACTTCTGTTTTGTAAGCTAAATTTGTCCAGATTTTTAAATAAGTATCCACATCACTTTTTTTTCTGTACTTTCACCTATTCTCCTTGTCATCATGTCCCTCAACATTTTAACCACCTAGTGATTACAATGAGAGAACTTCTCCAGAGGAATCTAAAATCTAATTTTTGGAACATATTACTCTATTGAGTATTAAGGCCAGATCTTAATTCTCTCTGACCTTCATCTAATGGTCATAGTGCATGAAATACAGGTTTGGCTAGATGGAAAAAATAACTGATAAACCAGGATAATTCTTAAGGTGGGTTAGAAAGAAAACAGAAATAGATATGCTCCACAGTTACAACCTTTTAAAAAGAGGACAATGAAAGGGTCATCCAATATCTTAGACTGTCAGCCAGACGAGAGATAATTGAGAAAGCCATATCTACTCCTATTCCATTTCTTAATGCAGTTCAGTGATTGTCTCACTAGGCATCCACTGTAGCCTAAGATAACACTATGACTGTGGTTATCACAGTGAATTCTGAATTCTTATGTATTTGGAGATAAGGAGGACTATCCAGTTATCTGTGGGGTAATAATATTTTCTGCAGCTTTCAATTAGCAGATCAATTTAGAGATGATAAATTAACCTGGAGCATATTAAAGAAATGTTTCCAAATCATCATGGGAACTAAAGGACTGGATACAAAGTGATCCAGTTAGTACAACCAAAATATGTTTTATAAATATTTTGGGGGACTTGGTTATGTTAGGATTATCTTGTTACTGATGAAGAGAAACTTTAATTTTCATACTGATTATCTCTAGGATAGTAACTTGCTGTTCAGATGAAACAAAATGATAACAATATCCATAGCCATAATGACTCATGATTGCAGGAGTGTGAATCATGTCTAAAATCGGAGATAGCTTTATGTGGTTCAAACCCTGTTTTAAAGCCAAGGTTGTACTTCAATGTTCTTTCTCATGTTACATATCTTTCCCAGTTTGAAGCTACCCAAAAGCTCAAATCATAAACGGCTGTTTGTTAAACTTATAGCCAAATTTACTAGAATGCAGACTATTAAAGAATAATCACCAGAATGCAGACTATTAAAGAATAATTAAAGAAATTGGGGATATAATCAAGATATATTCACTAGATCTAAAGTAAAATAAGAATATAATCTAAGCTAAGAGTCAAGAGGCTTATTATTCAACCTCTGATTGGGGCTGGGATCTCCTGCTGCCAGAGGTTACCACTGGAAGTTGATGTGTGGTTTGGGGATATATGTCTTGACTCCCCAGTTCAGCGGTCCTTCCTGCCCCACAAAGTCCAAACTCTGGCATCTCTTTCTGCCCTTTAACACCAACTAACACCCCACAACATGACAGACACTGTGACAGTGGCTTTGTGCCCTCAGCAGATGGTTTCTGTTCCCATTTCCTTGATGCCCTGTCAGAAGCAGGGTCCACTCCTCCAGCCCCTGCAGCCAATATGGCTTCCTCTAGCCTGTGTCTTAGAACTCACGACTCTTTCTGGAGGGTGGGGGAAGCCTAGTTCAAGTTTTAATGCAAGTTTTGCCTTTATAGAGGCTCGAGGTTGAATTGATTTCTAGGGTATCTTGCTTATCCCATACCAAGGGCTGTCTTTTTAGCTTCAAACTGAGGATATCTAAATATCGGAAGTGGAGGTCAAAATATTAGTAACTTTGAATTAAAAATGAAATTAAAGCAGTTAAAAAGGCTTAGTAAAATGCCACATGGCCTGTTAAGATTCTATCAGCCGACTGGAGGAGCCAAGATGGCCGAATAGGAACAGCTCCGGTCTACAGCTCCCAGCGTGAGCGATGCAGAAGACCGGTGATTTCTGCATTTCCATCTGAGGTACCGGGTTCATCTCACTAGGGAGTGCCAGACAGTGGGCGCAGGCCAGTGGGTGCGCGCACCGGGCGCGAGCCGAAGCAGGGCGAGGCATTGCCTCACCTGGGACGCGCAAGGGGTCAGGGAGTTCCCTTTCCAAGTCAAAGAAAGGGGTGATGGACGCACCTGGAAAATTGGGTCACTCCGACCCGAATATTGCGCTTTTCAGACCGGCTTAAAAAACGGCGCACCACGAGACTATATCCCACACCTGGCTCGGAGGGTCCTACGCCCACGGAGTCTCCCTCATTGCTAGCACAGCAGTCTGAGATCAAACTGCAAGGCGGCAGCGAGGCTGGGGGAGGGCCCCCGCCATTGCCCAGGCTTGATTAGGTAAACAAAGCAGCTGGGAAGCTCGAACTGGGTGGAGCCCACCACAGCTCAAGGAGGCCTGCCTGCCTCTGTAGGCTCCACCTCTGGGGGCAGGGCACAGACAAACAAAAAGACAGCAGTAACCTCTGCAGACTTAAATGCCCGTCTGACAGCTTTGAAGAGACCAGTGGTTCTCCCAGCACGCAGCTGGAGATCTGAGGACGGGCAGACTGCCTCCTCAAGTGGGTCCCTGACCTCTGACCCCTGAGCAGCCTAACTGGGAGGCACCCCCCAGCAGGGGCACACTGACACCTCACACGGCAGGGTATTCCAACAGACCTGCAGCTGAGGGTCCTGTCTGTTAGAAGGGAAACTAACAAACAGAAAGGACATCCACACCAAAAACCCATCTGTACATCACCATCATCAAAGACCAAAAGTAGATAAAACCACAAAGACGGGGAAAAAACAGAACAGAAAAACTGGAAACTCTAAAATGCAGAGCGCCTCTCCTCCTCCAAAGGAACGCAGTTCCTCACCAGCAACGGAACAAAGCTGGATGGAGAATGATTTTGACGAGCTGAGAGAAGAAGGCTTCAGACGATCAAATTACTCTGAGCTACGGGAGGACATTCAAACCAAAGGCAAAGAAGTTGAAAACTTTGAAAAAAATTTAGAAGAATGTATAACTAGAATAACCAATACAGAGAAGTGCTTAAAGGAGCTGATGGAGCTGAAAACCAAGGCTCGAGAACTACGTGAAGAATGCAGAAGCCTCAGGAGCTGATGCGATCAACTGGAAGAAAGGGTATCAGCAATGGAAGATGAAATGAATGAAATGAAGCGAGAAGGGAAGTTTAGAGAAAAAAGAATAAAAAGAAATGAGCAAAGCCTCCAAGAAATATGGGACTATGTGAAAAGACCAAATCTACGTCTGATTGGTGTACCTGAAAGTGATGGGGAGAATGGAACCAAGTGGGAAAACACTCTGCAGGATATTATCCAGGAGAACTTCCCCAATCTAGCAAGGCAGGCCAACGTTCAGATTCAGGAAATACAGAGAACGCCACAAAGATACTCCTCGAGAAGAGCAACTCCAAGACACATAGTTGTCAGATTCACCAAAGTTGAAATGAAGGAAAAAATGTGAAGGGCAGCCAGAGAGAAAGGTCGGGTTACCCTCAAAGGGAAGCCCATCAGACTAACAGCGGATCTCTTGGCAGAAACCCTACAAGCCAGAAGAGAGTGGGGGCCAATATTCAACATTCTTAAAGAAAAGAATTTTCAACCCAGAATTTCATATCCAGCCAAACTAAGCTTCATAAGCAAAGGAGAAATAAAATACTTTATAGACAAGCAAATGCTGAGAGATTTTGTCACCACCAGGCCTGCCCTAAAAGAGCTCCTGAAGGAAGTGCTAAACATGGACAGGAACAACCGGTACCAGCCGCTGCAAAATCATGCCAAAATGTAAAGACCATCGAGACTAGGAAGAAACTGCATCAACTAACGAGCAAAATCACCAGCTAACATCATAATGACAGGATCAAATTCACACATAACAATATTAACTTTAAATGTAAATGGACTAAATGCTCCAATTAAAAGACACAGACTGGCAAATTGGATAAAGAGTCAAGACCCATCAGTGTGCTGTATTCAGGAAACCCATCTCACGTGCAGAGACACACATAGGCTCAAAATAAAGGATGGAGGAAGATCTGCCAAGCAAATGGAAAACAAAAAAAGGCAGGGGTTGTAACCCTAGTCTCTGATAAAACAGACTTTAAACCAACAAAGATCAAAAGAGACAAAGAAGGCCATTACATAATGGTAAAGGGATCAATTCAACAAGAGGAGCTAACTATCCTAAATATATATGCACCCAATACAGGAGCACCCAGATTCATAAAGCAAGTCCTGAGTGACCTACAAAGAGACTTAGACTCCCACACATTAATAATGGGAGACTTTAACACCCCACTGTCAACATTAGACAGATCAACGAGACAGAAAGTCAACAAGGATACCCAGGAATTGAACTCAGCTCTGCACCAAGCGGACCTAATAGACATCTACAGAACTCTCCACCCCAAATCAACAGAACATACATTTTTTTCAGCACCACACCACACCTATTCCAAAATTGACCACATACTTGGAAGTAAAGCTCTCCTCAGCAAATGTAAAAGAACAGAAATTATAACAAACTATCTCTCAGACCACAGTGCAATCAAACTAGAACTCAGGATTAAGAATCTCACTCAAAGCCGCTCAACTACATGGAAACTGAACAACCTGCTCCTGAATGACTACTGGGTACATAACGAAATGAAGGCAGAAATAAAGATGTTCTTTGAAACCAACGAGAACAAAGACAGAACATACCAGAATCTCTGGGATGCATTCAAAGCAGTGTGTAGAGGGAAATTTATAGCACTAAATGCCCACAAGAGAAAGCAGGAAAGATCCAAAATTGACACCCTAACATCACAATTAAATGAACTAGAAAAGCAAGAGCAAACACATTCAAAAGCTAGCAGAAGGCAAGAAATAACTAAAATCAGAGCAGAACTGAAGGAAATAGAGACACAAAAAACCCTTCAAAAAATCAATGAATCCAGGAGCTGGTTTTTTGAAAGGATCAACAAAATTGATAGACCACTAGCAAGACTAATAAAGAAAAAAAGAGAGAAGAATCAAATAGACACAATAAAAAATGATAAAGGGGATATCACCACTGATCCCACAGAAATACAAACTACCATCAGAGAATACTACAAACACCTCTATGCAAATAAACTAGAAAATCTAGAAGAAATGGATACATTCCTCGACACATACACTCTCCCAGGACTAAACCAGGAAGAAGTTGAATCTCTGAATAGACCAATAACAGGCTCTGAAATTGTGGCAATAATCAATAGTTTACCAACCAAAAAGAGTCCAGGACCAGATGGATTCACAGCCGAATTCTACCAGAGGTACAAGGAGGAACTGGTACCATTCCTTCTGAAACTATTCCAATCAATAGAAAAAGAGGGAATCCTCCCTAACTCATTTTCTGAGGCCAGCATCATTCTGATACCAAAGCTGGGCAGAGACACAACCAAAAAAGAGAGTTTTAGACCAATATCCTTGATGAACATTGATGCAAAAATCCTCAATAAAATACTGGCAAACCGAATCCAGCAGCACATCAAAAAGCTTATCCACCATGATCAAGTGGGCTTCATCCCTGGGATGCAAGGCTGGTTCAATATACGCAAATCAATAAATGTAATCCAGCATATAAACAGAGCCAAAGACAAAAACCACATGATTATCTCAATAGATGCAGAAAAAGCCTTTGACAAAATTCAACAACCCTTCATGCTAAAAACTCTCAATAAATTAGGTATTGATGGGACGTATTTCAAAATAATAAGAGCTATCTATGACAAACCCACAGCCAATATCATACTGAATGGGCAAAAACTGGAAGCATTCCCTTTGAAAACTGGCACAAGACAGGGATGCCCTCTCTCACTGCTCCTATTCAACATAGTGTTGGAAGTTCTGGCCAGGGCAATCAGGCAGGAGAAGGAAATAAAGGGTATTCAGTTAGGAAAAGAGGAAGTCAAATTGTCCCTGTTTGCAGACGACATGATTGTTTATCTAGAAAACCCCTTCGTCTCAGCTCAAAATCTCCTTAAGCTGATAAGCAACTTCAGCAAAGTCTCAGGATACAAAATCAATGTACAAAAATCACAAGCATTCTTATACACCAACAACAGACAAACAGAGAGCCAAATCATGAGTGAACTCCCATTCACAATTGCTTCAAAGAGAATAAAATACCTAAGAATCCAACTTACAAGGGATGTGAAGGACCTCTTCAAGGAGAACTACAAACCACTGCTCAAGGAAATAAAAGAGGATACAAACAAATGGAAGAACATTCCATGCTCATGGGTAGGAAGAATCAATATCGTGAAAATGGCCATACTGCCCAAGGTAATTTACAGATTCAATGCCATCCCCATCAAGCTACCAATGACTTTCTTCACAGAATTGGAAAAAACTACTTTAAAGTTCATATGGAACCAAAAAAGAGCCCGCATCGCCAAGTCAATCCTAAGCCAAAAGAACAAAGCTGGAGGCATCACACTACCTGACTTCAAACTATACTACAAGGCTACAGTAACCAAAACAGCATGGTACTGGTACCAAAACAGAGATATAGATCAATGGAACAGAACAGAGCCCTCAGAAATAACGCCGCATACCTACAACTATCTGATCTTTGACAAACCTGAGAAAAACAAGCAATGGGGAAAGGATTCCCTATTTAATAAATGGTGCTGGGAAAACTGGCTAGCCATATGTAGAAAGCTGAAACTGGATCCCTTCCTTACACCTTATACAAAAATGAATTCAAGATGGATTAAAGATTTAAACGTTAGACCTAAAACCATAAAAACCGTAGAAGAAAACCTAGGCATTACCATTCAGGACATAGGCGTGGGCAAGGACTTCATGTCTAAAACACCAAAAGCAATGGCAACCAAAGCCAAAATTGACAAATGGGATCTAATTAAACTAAAGAGCTTCTGCACAGCAAAAGAAACTACCATCAGAGTGAACAGGCAACCTACAACATGGGAGAAAATTTTCGCAACCTACTCATCTGACAAAGGGCTAATATCCAGAATCTACAATGAACTCAAACACATTTACAAGAAAAAAACAAACAACCCCATCAAAAAGTGGGCGAAGGACATGAACAGACACTTCTCAAAAGAAGACATTTATGCAGCCAAAAAACACATGAAAAAATGCTCATCATCACTGGCCATCAGAGAAATGCAAATCAAAACCACTATGAGATATCATCTCACACCAGTTAGAATGGCAATCATTAAAAAGTCAGGAAACAACAGGTGCTGGAGAGGATGTGGAGAAATAGGAACACTTTTACACTGTTGGTGGGACTGTAAACTAGCTCAACCATTGTGGAAGTCAGTGTGGCGATTCCTCAGGGATCTAGAACTAGAAATACCATTTGACCCAGCCATCCCATTACTGGGTATATACCCAAAGGACTATAAATCATGCTGCTATAAAGACACATGCACACGTATGTTTATTGCGGCATTATTCACAATAGCAAAGACTTGGAACCAACCCAAATGTCCAACAATGATAGACTGGATTAAGAAAATGTGGCACATATACACCATGGAATACTATGCAGCCATAAAAAATGATGAGTTCATGTTCTTTGTAGGGACATGGATGAAGCTGGAAACCATCATTCTCAGTAAACTATCGCAAGAACAGAAAACCAAACACCGCATATTCTCACTCATAGGTGGGAATTGAACAATGAGATCACATGGACACAGGAAGGGGAATATCACACTCTGGGGACTGTGGTGGGGTGGGGGGAGCGGGGAGGGATAGCATTGGGAGATATACCTAATGCTAGATGACGAGTTAGTGGGTGCAGCGCACCAGCATGGCACATGTATACATATGTAACTAACCTGCACAATGTGCACATGTACCCTAAAACTTAAAGTATAATAAAAAATAAAAAAAAAAAAGATTCTATCAGCCAATCCATTTTCCCTAAGCTGCTGTTAAGAAAAAAAAAAATGGTGAATCAGAGAGCCATTATCAAAGGTGCAAGCTGACTTGTCATCACTTGTGTGATGAAAAACATCTTTGCCTGAATCTTGTTCTTCACCTGGGCTAAGATTTCTATCTACACAACGCTTTTCAACAGTTCAGCTTCAATTAACAACTAAGAGAGCTGCCATTAGATTTTCTCAAGACTGGAAACAATGTAGGATTTTCTTTTCTTCTAAAAATAATGTACATTTTTATTTGTATCTATACTCAGTCTCTATACTTCTGCATCTATATTTCTGCATCATTAAGTCAAACCACAGATATTTCTGGTTTCTGTGGTTACTCTTAGAAATTACTGTAACGATCTACTAATTTGCTCTTTATGCTTCCTGTAAGAGCTTCTTTGAGTCTTATGGTTTTCACGTGATGTATTGCTAACATCTTCTGAAGTTCTAAGTTTTAATAACTGTCAAGATTTCTAACTCATTTTCCTCTGTCAAATATAGTAAGGGATGCACAAACAAAAATATTCTCACATTTCTGCCTAAAATATTTTTAAAAATGGCTCACTTATATCTCCCTGCCTCACTTATTGTACCTACTCATGAGAAACTTCCAGATTTATTTAATTGAGATTCATTTTTAGAACCATGAGAATGCTCTAATATCTTCTTGGTCCTTTGGAGGAAACATTAAAATTGTCCATAAGACTGACAGAGTTCACGTATATGTTCTGCGACTCATGGTTAAAAACACCACATACCATTAGCAACCCATCTGTTCCATTTCTTGGTATACTAGAGTGTAAGGTCTCTTGGTTCTAAGACTGTAACAGTGCAAATCTATTTGGTACACTAGCTACAACAGGTTAACATTAAGTTGGCTGTATTTCAAGCTAACAAAGCTTGTCAGCAGTTCCAGGCCAGCTCCTAGATTTTTTTTTTCTTTCCTTTTGGGATCATGCTTCCTTATTTCTTCTCTCCTGAATCTATTCTCATCTCTTTCTCTGTTATATTTCTTCAGCTTTTTATATGTGACTACTACTAGCACACAGTCACTAACATCAGGTTCATTGGACAAATAGAGATTTTTCAATGACATATGTGTTTTATTACTAATGATAGTACATAAGCAAATATTTATGATGATGAGTCTGGGGTTTCTATCTGGAAGGTTTGATGAAATAATATATACTCAGAGATCCAATATTGAGTCAGTCAGTAGAATATCTTTTTCCTTAAACAGTCCTGATCTTTCTCATATATTTTCTCTGTGAAGTCTGTGTGAAAAAAAAATTTAAAATCAGGGAAAGTTTTGGGCAGGAGAAGCTAAAAAATCTAGAGAAGTTAGTCATACAGAGATTGCCATTTCAAAATTAGAAATGAATATAAGACAAGCCTCTTTCTGATTTTTATATACCCTAGGGTATGTGTGTGCCCTTTAAGCTTAAACAAAGTTCCACTTTGCTTGATTTGCAGAATGACCTTCAGAAAAAAGAGGTGTGAAGTGTTCTCTACCTTGTTTCATATTTACTCTGGTAAATGTGTTGTTATCAACAGAATTGTCTAATATCAATCAACCATAAATTGTTTATATGCTTTTGTTTTCTAAATAAATAAATTTGCATTGGAATTTATGTTTACTTTATCTCATGTAATTTATTTTCTCCACCACAAAATATATCATGACACTTCCAATTTCAGAAATAAACAAACATCACATTAAACTTTTGATCCTGGCCAACTCTTCTTAGAATTTCTTTTTCTATTTAGTTTGGAAAATTCTGACTAACGGCTAAAGAAATGATATTACTTTGTAATAAATTTAGACTATTTCTGAATAGCACACCATATTCTACTGCATTGTCCTCATGATGGACAAGTAGGTAATTAGAAAAATCCAGAAGACTGACACAAATGTCATATAGAATATGTCCAACACTGGTATCTTTAGGCATACATATTTGTCATCTGACTTGTTTGTCACAAAGTAGCTGTAGGCCCGTAGGCAATTTATTTTTTAACCCTACATTTCCTTATCTGTAAAGTTGGCAATAATAATATTTACCTGTGTTAATTAAGGATGAGTCCTAGGAATCTATATTTTAAATACAGTTTTGAGTATTCCCTATGCAAATACCCTGAATTTGGTTCATAAATGGGTGATGAAAGCTACTGCCCCAAACCAGTCCTGTTTCTTGATTGTTTTTATATAAGGGTGATCCATTGATTATAAAATTAAACATTAAATAATAAATTATGTTTTATGTTGCATGGAGGAAAATCCTAAATAAAAACAAACACTCAAGAAGAGCAAATCATTTTAATCTGCCTTTTGGGCATAGTTTAACTATAACGTTTATTTCCCTGGGGTTTTCTACTTTTTATCTTCACATCTACAATTTTTTTTCCTTGTAATGTCTCATGTTCATGATATCTGCTGTTTTGTTGTTGTTTGAGGAAAAATCTTTAGTGCACAAAACAGTATTTGTACAAATTTTCTCTCATATATTTCCATACAAAAGAAAAGTAAAATGAGATTAAAGAACGGCTTCAGATAGAGTTTTCATTCAGATGTATCAATGTTATCGACAAATGAATTCTATAGTATTGGAAAACAATGCCTGATACCCCTTTTTTTCGCAATATTGTAACAAGGCAAACTAGATATCTGAAAATCCAACCAAAAAAAAACTAAAAAAAGTTGATAAAGTATATATTTATATGTAACTAACCTGCACATTGTGCACATGTACCCTAAAACTTAAAGTATAATAATAAAAAATAAAAAAGAAAAAATAATAAATAATATTTTAAATGATTTGTGAAAATGTTAAGAAATTTAGAGAAATTTTTCAAAGGAAACAGAGAAAAATGGGGTGTTAAAACAGAGAGGTAATTACCTTTTGGAGCCACTGACAGTCCAGAAATCTGTGTGTTACGGAGTTTCAGTATTAGAAGCCATGTGGTGAGGGATTAAGTCAGGAACTCTCACACAAAGCTATGACTGCTGATAGATAACGCAGATTGAAAGAGACAGCCTGCAGTGATTTCACCTCCACAGCAGAGACTTCAATATCTCCTCTTCTGTGGGCATAAAGGTATAAGGTTGCAAACTGTGACTCCAGTGTACAGGAGCAATTTAAAAAATTCAATTTTATGCTTTTATAAAGTTCTTGGAAGAAGATATCATAGGGACATGTCAAAAGATGGATGATAAAACAAAAAAATTGAAACAGATTAAAGACAGAGGGCCTATTTCCCTAATACATGATTAATTCTTCAAAAAGTTGTTTAAAAGATGAAAAAATCTAAAGCCAAAACCATGAAGAGATAATTCTCCAAATTATGATATAAAAATGATTCTTAAATGTATAAAAACAGGTTCAATCTCCCTCAAAATAAGTACAAATTAAAATTACGTTAAAATCTTATATATCAAAAGTTGTCAACACTTTAGTTAATAAAGCTATGGAAAAATATGAGCTTTTATATACTGCTGGTAGAAATGCAAATTGGTAAAGACTTATGGAGATGACAATATATTACAAAACTGCACACTAATTTTCCCTTTGTCCTAACAATCTCGCTTTGATACTTTTATCCTTAAATTACATATGAAATAATTAAAAATACATATGCAAAAGTTTATTCATTGTGACATTAGTTACAGTTACAAAATACTAGAAACATCCTGAATACACATTCATAGGCTATTGGTTCAACAAATTATACTATTTAACACAACGGAGTGCTACAAAACTGTAAAAAAGAATGAGAAAGATTTTGAATGGATGTGAAGTGATCTATAGAGTACATTCTTAGTTGAGAACAGCAAAGCACAAAAAAACTGAAGTGTAAGTATAGAAGGGAAAAATACATTTGTTTGTGTATATACATAACTATATACAAAACTGTAAAATAGAATGAGAAAGATTTTAAATGGATGTGAAGTGATCTATAGAGTACATTCTTAGTTGAGAACAGCAAAGCACAAAAAAAACTGAAGTGTAAGTATAGAAGGGAAAAATACATTTGTTTGTGTATATACATAACTATATACAAAACTGTAAAATAGAATGAGAAAGATTTTAAATGGATGTGAAGTGATCTATAGAGTACATTCTTAGTTGAGAACAGCAAAGCACAAAAAAAACTGAAGTATAGAAGGGAAAAATACATTTGTTTGTGCATATACATAACTATATACAACCATGTATCATAAATTTTTAAAAAGATGAAAAATATATAATGTAATATAAATTATTAATAAACCTAACTTTATTTCAAATATGTAATGAAATCCCATAAAATAGTATAATTATCATTATATTCTATATCTGGACAGTTAAATATACAGTTTATTGTTATTATTACACCTACCTATTATAAACGATGTGCTTATTATTTTGGATATGTGAAATGTTTCATTATTATTAAAAAGAGATGCTTTGAGAGCCATAGAGAAGCTAGTAAATCCTCAGAGAGTAGTTGAAGAATGATTTGTGTTGTCTTGGACAAATTCCTTGACACTCCATGACTCAGCTCTTCATTTATGAAATGAGCTTATAAAAGTCTCTATCCAGTAATGTCATTATGAGGCTTAAGTAGTTATTAGACATAAACTGCTTAGAATAATATCAAGCACATAACTAAAATCAATAATTATTAGTCAGTAGTAAGAGCATGGAAGCCATTTCTCTAGGACCCAAAGTCTTTAACCATCAATTTGTTCCTGAGTATTAGTGAGAGCTGAAAGCATTATTTTAGTTATTGTATTCTGTAAAGGCAAATAATAGTGATTCTCAACTGGGTATGACATCAGCATCTCTGTTGATCTCTTAAAAATTATAAACAAATGCAATTCAGGAGTTGAATATCACCCAAAACCTACTGAACATAATTTTTAGACATCAGGCCCAGGTTTACATAAGTTTGAAAATGTCATAGGGATACTGACAAGTTGTCTTCCTTAAGAACCCCAGTGATAGAAATATTGAGGAACTATTGGAGCAGAAAATAAATTATGCTAAGTCCTTCACCTCAGAGAAATGAATCTCAGTTTCTTTTCTGTAAAATGAGGATAACAATCCCTTACGTGTGGGTTTGTTATGATGGTTAATAAAGATAATAAATAGAGAATACTTAGTTCATTGTTAGTAGTCAATGAATGATGGCTATTATCATTTTCTGTTCTTGTAGAAGGCTGAAAAATTACATAAAAAGAGGAAATGAAGTATTTATAAGAGATCATAGATAATGTAATTTAATATCATATTTTCATGAGATCTGTAATTTTGGTAGAATTTTAAACCCTACTTTTAAGACCATTAGACCAAAACTTATAAAATATAAAAATATCACCAATTTTCAAAAAGGTAATTGAAGGTCTTAGTGCAATTTCAAATAATGGATTTATGCTGCTTACTTGCACACATAAATGAGTGCCCTTGTGAATAGAAAGATATTCAAGCATGTTTATCATATTCTGAGCCTGCAACTGCATACTGATCAATGCCCCTCACTCATTAACATACAAGACTCCTTTCTGGAGC
This sequence comes from Homo sapiens, assembly GCF_000001405.40. Taxonomy (NCBI): domain Eukaryota; kingdom Metazoa; phylum Chordata; class Mammalia; order Primates; family Hominidae; genus Homo; species Homo sapiens. Next base: position 103,720,645 of record NC_000006.12, read on the forward strand.
TTTCATGTGCATGCTCTTCTAAAAGCTCCTTTTTTCTTCACTGTTCAAACAGCCAATGACCTTTGTAATCAACAAGAAAATTAGAAGCAGGTGAGAGCTTATTTTTAATGCTGCTGAGACCAAATTGTTTAACTTAAATCTGAACTTTTTTCCTATCATTTGTAAGGCCTGACAAATATTAATTATATGAAGTTAGAGACCGACTTTCTCATTGTCTCTGATCAAGCTCTGTAACTAACCCTTTGCTTTCGTATTTAATAAGATAAAAACACTTCTCCTTTATGACTCTTTTTTTTTTAACTGGAGCCTTCAGGATAAACACGGTATCTTTGGGATTTATTTAATGCTCTGGTAATCATTATAAATTTACCTAGATGATTGTAACTGAAACTGATTGAGCACATTTTCCTACAGGATTGTACTTATTTATTTTAATGAGTGCATATTAGTGAATCAGAAATAAAGTTTCAACATCATAAATGACAAGTATCGGCCATGTTTTCTATCTCTCTTGTGTCTCAGTATTCTTAATCATATTTACTTAAAATAATCCCATTCCCTAAGGTTTCTCAGAATTACCAAACAACTTTTATTTCAGCTTCATATTCAAGTATATAATGAATCAAATAATGAAGATTGCCAATTGCAGTCATATCTAGATTATCTACAAACAAATACGTGCCTGGTGAATCTAAAGCAAATTGAATATATAAATAGTATATTGTATATAATATATAATATGCTGTATATATAATATATTATATATTATAATATATAATATGCTGTATATATATTATATATTATAATATATAATATATAATATGTATTAAATATATGTACTATTTATATATTAAATATACATTAAATATATACATTAAATATATTATATGTAATATATAATATTTATATTATTTATATTTATATATTATAATATATATTCAGTGCTATTTAAAATAGCACTGAATCTTTTGTATTCAAATGTGTAGATAGCTGAAGAAGGTCAGTCCTCTTGACTATATATATAAAATTTATATTATATAAAAATATTATATACAGTTAAAAATATATTATTTATAATATATTTTAATATATTATATAAATATATAAATATTAATATATTTATATTTATATAATATATAATTTATTGTTATATATAATATATCATATAATTTATATATAATTATATATTATGTATAATATGTAATTATATATATTTATATAATTATATAATATATATAATTATATAAACTATATATAATTATATATATTAATTATATATTATATATCATATAATTATCATATAATTTAAATTTTTAAATTATTTTAAATAAATAAATAAAAATAAAATAAATAAAATAAGAAAATAAATAAAATAAAATAAATTAAAAATAAATATATATTTTAAATATTTATACCTACATATATTTTTAAATCACATACACCACAAAGGTTTTATTGGTGACATTGCCTTCAAACCTTCTATTCAAGTAGAAGCCTGCTTAACGGTGAATTGGACTTTAAATACAAAAATCAAATCTCCAAATCTTAGTTTTGTGTTTTATGTTATAATTATCAAATAACCCGAGGTAGCTTAAAATGAGACATTAAAATGTACTTTTTAATTGTAATACAAAATCCAGATTACAGAAAAAAGTTAAAACAATATACTTACTATAAGGGCTAGCCTGTTTTTCACAGATTTCCATATATAACCATGAGCCTTATGACATTCAGAAGAAAAATAAAAGGGATATAATAATTGGCATAGCTCTAACAGAAGTTAGAGTTTGTATGTATGATAATGAACATCTAAGCATTATAATAGTAAACTCAAGATTCAGCTTAAGGTTTGAATGCATGTTTTGAGTTCAATGATCTCTATGTCAGTAAAGCTTGTATAAATGTCATATACTGGTAATGTCATGCAATGTCATATGCTGCTACTTTGGAAAAGTCAGAGGAAAAGAAAATAAACAAAGTAAAAATAAACCTATATAAAGCAGAAAGAAAGGTTTAGGCACTGTTTATATGGCTTTTTCTATGTTGAATGGCCTCAGGGATGCTTGAGGATTTGACATTTAGTTAATTTTCCTAGCAATATTAATTCAAATAATGCATAGGTAGACATAATATTGGATCCAAGATAAATGAGAATTCAGTCAAAGAATGTGTATAAGAGTAAGCACATGTGCTTTATTGTTGACATTGTTTATTAACAAATGAGTCACCAGTACTGTTGAGAAGTAGCATCAATGAGGAATGAAAACTTGTCACAAATCTCGGAGGACATGGTGGACTAGCTGGATGTAAAAGGTGAAGGGATTCAATAGCTGATGGCCTTCTTGGCCAGTGACCACTCAGCTCCTTCTGTGGCTAAACATGTTTTGAATGTGGATTTGGGAAACTGTGCTTGGGAATCATGAGGCACTTCATGTGGTACCAGCCATGTTGTTTTTTTGCCCTTGATCCTATCTTAAAACTAAATAATCTTGGTGCTGGTGATGCCTATTATGTTATGTTTAATTATCAATCCAAGCTTACCACCACTGATGCTAGTAGAATTCAATGAGAATGATAGTAATGAACACCATTTCATACAACTCAAGTAATTTGGAGAAAACTATAGCTGAAAGAATTCTTGCTTTAGATTGGCAGGGTAGAAACAGGGAGTTGATTTTTAGTATGAGTGGTCAAGGAAGATCTCACCTAGAAAGAGATATTTCCACAAAGACCTGAAGTACAAGGTATATGAAGTCATTTTGATTTTTGGAGGAAGAGCATTCCAGAAAGAGGAAGAAGTAGCATAAATGACTGCAGGTAGGAATATGCTTGGTGTGCTTTGTACTAATATTTAAAAAACAGCAAGGCAGCCAGAGTGGTCAGTGTGGAACAAATTAGCTGTAACAGAGGCAAGCAGATGAAATCAGCAAGATAATTATTGTGGGTAAGAGAGGGGCAGGTATTACAGGACTTTCTATTTCAGTCTAAGGGCTTTCAATTTCACTTGTAATAAGATGGGAAGTCACCAGTGGGCTTTAAGCAAAATAGAGACATAGTGTGACTATGTCTTATTAGAATCACTCTGGCTATTATTTTCTTAACCCACTGAGGGAGGCATTGTGCAAGGAGAAAGACTGAGAGGCTAGCCCAGTAGTCCAGATAATAGTGAAAGGTGGCTTAGCCCAAGAAAGTAAAGAATGATCAAGAGTGGTAAAACTGACAGGATTTTCTGGTGAATCTATGTAATGCTGAGATAGAGAGGAATCAAAGATGATTCCAGGGGTTTTGGTCCAGTGGCTGAAAGAATGGTGCTGCCATTGTGAAAGATTATTCACTAGACACATTAAAAATGGTAAGACAGATTTTATTCAGACTTCAGAATAGCAGAGACAGATTTTTGTATAAACTGAATTCAATTCCATGGAAACAAAATGAAAGAGACTTTTTAAATGCAGAGTGTGCTAAAAGTAGAGTCCATGAGCACATTAAGAGTGGGAAGGGGAGAGAGGTTGATTAATGTCATTAGGTCATCTACATTTGCTAACTTTTAAAGTTAGACTCCTATCCAACCAAGGAAACTAGGAGATAAGGGACTTATCTTTCTTGCTGAGTACTTTTCAAAAGGATGGCTCCCAAGTTCTTGAGAAGGACATTGCTGAGTTGTAGAAGATACTTCTAAAAGGGACAGAGAACAGATTTACATTTGCACATTTGCACATAAAAAAAAAAGTAAAGCTTCCAAGAAAAGGGTAGTCAGAGAACTATAGTCAGGTTTTGGCTGGAACAAAGCATAAATTCTTTTGTAGCATCAAGCTTTCTCAGGCAGGGATTTTCAGGGGCTGAAGTTGTCATCCTAGGAACACTGCCCTGAGCTGACAGAAACTATACTAGCGTTTATTTAAGTCTGTTAGTATAGGTGGTGGATAAAATCATTTGTGCTAAGAGTTTGTAGTTCTTATACTATGAGGCTGAGGCCTAGTCAAAAAGAGGACTCAGAAGAGCCCTTGAGTAGAGTTTGGTCAAAAGAGAGTCTTTGTCATCATATAAAAAGTTCCAGACTAATTCTCCATTTCCATAAACAGAATCTCTTGTTCTGACATTTATAGTTAAAACCTGTTGTTTACAGCATAGCTAGCTTCTACTTGGATAGGAAAATGGTTGTCTTGGTCTTCTGAAAGGGTCTGATATTACTTTATTTCACATTAATAATATGCATATATTTCTTAATAGAAACAAATATTAAATTAAAGGTAACATTATACCAGTCTAACTTTATTTTTTCGCACCTTATTCAATACCAAATTATCTGTATCTGCTATTCAGTGGAAAAGATGATTTTAATCGGGTTGTATTTAAAATATTAAAGCTACATTAAAAATAAGTCACAGTTGGTGCTTTTTTATATTGCCTTAACAAAAAAGAAAATTAAAATTCATGCATACTGAACACAATAAAAGTTCCAAATAGAGTACAGAAAAAGAAAAAAAAGGCTAATATATTTCCTATTAGGAGGAAAATTACCATAATATTATAAGCATAAATTTAAGGAAGAATGAGTAAGCACTTATAGTCACAGTAAATGCATAATAGATGTTCAAACCAAAAATTTTCTGACTCCTCCATACTGCTTGTTTGGGGAACTCTTAAATAGAGAACAATGTAGCAAACAGCTGGTGGAACACTCAACTGTATTCCTGTTAAACAATATGAGAAAAGAAAGCAACTTTTAAAATTTTGTTTTCTAAGCCATAATTGCATACCTCATGCTGACAAATTAAAAAGCAAACAAGCCTATGTGCATTCAAATAATAGGTGCTGAGGCTCTAAATGTCAAGCATTTTCTATGAAACACTCAGTTTGCAATTGCATATTTCAACTCCATATGTTTAAGGTAAAATATAATAGTTAAGCATGACAGGAGGCCAATGCACAAATGTTCATATTTGCACTGGCAGACCTTTCCAAAACTATGATAATTGTTTGAGATGTATGAATAAAATATTGGTTTTGTAAAAAATTCTTCAATTATTCAATTTATATTGTTATAGGTCTCCCAGCTGACAGTAAAAGAAAATGAATACAGAGCCCAGTTTGGATACAGGGGGAAAATACTTGCAAAATATACATCTTTTTAAAACATTTTTAACTTTTAATTTTTGTGAGTACATAGTAGGTGTATATATTTATGGGGTACATGAGATACTTTGATATAAACATGCTTTTCATAATAATCACATCAGAAGGACGGGCGCGGTGGCTCAGGCCTGTAATCCCAGCACTTTGGGAGGCTGAGGTGGGCAGATCATGAGGTCAGGAGTTTGAGACCATTGTGACCAACATGGTGAATCCCTGTCTCTACTAAGTACAAAAATTAGCCAGGCATGGTGGTGCATGCCTGTAATCTCAGCTACTCAGGAAACTGAGGCAGGGGAATTGCTTGAACCCAGGAGGCAGAGGTTGCAGGGAGCCAAGATCACACCACTGCACTCCAGCATGGGTGACAGAGCAAGACTCCGTCTCAAAAATAAATCATCATCATCATCATCACATCATGGAAAATGGGGCATCCATCCCCTCAAGCACTTATCCTTTGTGTTACAAACAATCCAATTATATTATTTTAGTTATTTTTAAATGTGTGATTAAATTATTTTGACTATAGTCATCCTGTGCTATCAAAAACTTGGTTTTATTCATTCAATCTTTTCTTGTGTGTGTACTCATTAACTATCCCCACCTCCTCCCTACACTCCCTACTACTCTTCCCAGCCTTTGGGTACCATCCTTCTGTTTTCTATCTTCATGAGTTCGATTGTTTTTATTTTTAGATCCCATATATAACTTAGAACACGGTATGTTTGCCTTCTGTGCCTGGCTCATTTCACTTAACATAATGACCTCCACTTCCAACCATGTTGTTGCAAGTGACAGGATCTCATTCTTTTTTATGTCAAAAGAGTACTCCATTGTGTATATGTACCATATTTCCTTTATCCATCATCTGTTGATAGACACTTAGGGTTGCTTCCAGATCTTGGCTTTTGTGAACAGTGCTGCAACAAACATGGGAGTTCACATATCTCTCCAATATACTGATTTTCTTTCTTTGGGATATATACTCAGCAGCAGGATTGCTGGATCATATGGTAGCACTACTTTTCATTCTTTGGGGAACCTCCAAACTGTTCTCCACAGTGGTTGTACTAATTTACATTCCCACCAAAAGTGTACAAGAATTACTTTTTCTCCACATCCTTATTAGCATTTGTTACTGCCTATCTTTTGGACATGAGGCATTTTAATTGGGGTGAGATGATATCTCATTGTAGTTTTCATTTGCATTTTTCTGATAACCAATGATGTGGAGCATCTTTTCATATGCCTGTTTGCCATTTGTATGTCTTCTTTCAAGAAATAGCTATTCAAATATTTTTCCCATTTTTAAATTTGATTATTCCATTTTTTCCTCTAGAGCTAATTTGAGCCCCTTATATAATCTGGTTGTCAATCCCTTGTTGGATGGGTAGTCTGCAAATATTTTCTCCTATTCTGTGGGTTGTCTCTTCAATTTGTTGATCATTTCCTTTGCTGTGCAGAGGCTTTTTGACTTGATGTTACACCGTTTGCCCATTTTTAATTTGGTCACCTCTGCTTGTGGGGTATTACTCAATAAATTACAAAATACATACCTTATAAAATACTTATATCTAGATTTTATATAAAGACCTATACTAAACAGTACAATAAAGTAGGCAAAAGATATAAATATTTATAAAATAAAACACTCAAGTGGCTAACGAGCCCATGAAAAGATGTTCATCATCAGTAGTCATCAGGGAAATGCAAATTAAAACCAAAATTGATAGCATGCCATATCTAGTAGCATGACTACAATAAATAAGACAAACCATAAGAAACATTGGCAAGCATCTGGAAAACTGAGATTGCTCATAAATTGTTAGTGGGAATGTAATATGGTAAAGCCATGGTAGAAAACATTTGTCAGTTTCTCCAAAAGTTAAACGTGAAATTGCCATATGATCCTAGCAATTCTGTTCTTAGATGTGTATAAAACATAAATGAAAACGTATCCCCATGCAAAGATTTGCATACAAATTAGGTTACATGTGAGGTTTATAGCAGCATTATTCATAACAGCCAAAAACTGGAAACAACCTAAATATCCATCAACTGATCGATCAATAGGCAAAATACTATATATTCACACAATGAAATATATTCGGCAATAACAAAGGAATGGATGACTGACACTTGCTACATCCTGTGTGAGCCTCAAAGAAGCCAGTCAGTATTATGCATTTCTATTTATATGAAATTTCCAGAAAAGGCAAACTTGTAGAGACAGTAAATTAGTGATTACCTAGGCCTGGGGCTAGGGTAGAAATTGTAATGGGCCTGAGGAGTCTCATTGTGGAAAGGGTTGAAGATGCTCTAAAATTTATGCTGATGGTTGCATCATTTGATAAAGTTACTAAGAGACAGTGACTTGTGCACTTGAAATGAGTAAATTTTCTCACATGCAAGATATACCTCAATAAAGTTGTCAAAATAGTAAGCTTCTCTCTCTCTCTACCTCTCTATTTATATCTATCTAGCTCCCTAAGATTTAGAATTCAAATGTGAGGTAGATATCACTGGGACTTTTTTTTTAACTTTTTGAATAAAAAGACATGCCTACATGCTTGTCCTAAGAGCAAGTCAGTCTGATTTAATTGACTGGTTTCTCAATAGAGGTTGGCATTTCAAATTAGATCACATGGAAGTTATTTTTCATAAATGGGTGGGTACATTCACATTTTCAAAGCTTTGGTGAAAAACACAAGAGGTAAGTACAAAATACAAATATTTTCCGTTACTTTTTGTGTAAATTAAGGTGCCTCTAAATGAAAGGATAATAGGTTACATAAATATTTTATTAAGCCTTCATAAAGATTCTTAAGTATATTTTTTAGAAATGGAGAAAGTGATTTACTCTAATGAATTTGTAATATGTCTTTTTTACTACTTAGATATTTTATTTAGAAACCAACACGCACACAAAAATTTACAGTATCCTATTCACACTGTATAAGACTATACATGAGAGTCAAAGATGCTCTATAACAAGATTTGAACACAAGAATAGAGGTAGAAGTCTTCTAAGTGTGACAGTTAAAAATATAATCTCAGATGAGCTGTCCAAGCCTGTGATACAGAGAAACAGAAGACAATCAGGTGAATACATCCATAAAAGACGGGTTATAGGAAAGTCAGAGAATAAAATAATAGATTTGTATTTGAACAGTAGGGAATTAAATATTGATATTTATTAAAATTAGATTGAACAAAATAATGTCTTTTGTTTAAATGTCTTGTGTTACTATTTAGAAAGTGGTATCTTAATTTATAATGAGATTTCAGAATTCATTTTTTTCTTCTTTTGGAAAGATCATAACTATTATGAAATATATAATTTCAGATGTACTAAAAAGTCATTTGAAATGTTAGGCACAAACAGAAACACCTCTTAGCTCTATGTCTAGGCAAGTTTCTTAGTTTCTATAAATTTAATTTTATACTGTCATTATAAGCATTAAATGAAATAAAGAATATGAAGCATTTATTAATATATCTGTCATATTATTTGTTTTATAAATATTGGGTGTTTATCATAGTATTGGTATTATTGAATTAATCTGGGTATAGAGGCAAATAACACTGATCTTACATGCAATTGAAAATTGTACGTTAGCATTTTAATTGGCACTTTTAAATCTAAACTTGATTTAAAGTGAACCAAATTCACAAGATGAATTTTGAGGGTTGAGTAAAACATTTATACATGTCCATTAGGAATAGTCATAAAGCTAATGTGTCATAAGTGTACACACCATGGTGGGCCAGATTTTTATTCTAGTTACATCAAACTTCATTTGCCTGGTTAGCTTTTTGTAATTAAAAAGACAAGTGAGTGTATATCTATTCATGGGGTTTCTTTTATGATAATGTTAAAGATAATGCATAGGAAGCACCTAGAACAGTGAAATCGACATACTGCAAGCTCTATAAGTGGTTGCTCTTATTATAGTTATGGAGTAGATGCTATCACTAGACATATTACTTTGTCTTCCCTGTTCAACCTCCAACTTTGCCTTATTTCACCACATGCCATTTCCACATGTTCCAAAATCCTGCAGCTCTTACTTTCCACCACACGGGTATAGCAAGAGAGGACTCAAAGTTCCTTGCTTATCTTTCAAATGCTAACTCTTTCAGATACTAATGCTACTGATGTTATCAAAGTGCTGTATTGGAAAACTTATTTTAAAAAGACATGAACCTTTGGTGAGCAATTAAACATTGCTATAAGACATGATACAAGAAAGTTTAAAACAAAACATTATTTTTCATGTACAAATAAGTGTTTCCTGGACATGTGTAGAATTTTTCTTCTGTGCTGACATTGAACAGGGAGTAACAGTCACTGATCCATTCATCAGTTATAATTTCTTGTGTACTTCCTGTGCTTCTTGATCTTCCCAATGACAATACAGGATGATAATGTGTCTATCGTCAAAGAACAAAATGTCTTTTCTGGGGGGGCATGTCTGAACCAGTTGAAAGTGATCCTCAGCCTATTTTCATGAGTTATATTGCATAAATTGATCATTCACATCTTCATATATGCCTCTCCCCCTACACACACACACACACACACACACACACACACACACACACGAGAGAGAGACAGAGAGGCCACCATTAGTTAAACAGGAAATGCAAGATGCTTTTAAAATAGGCTGGGCAAAGTATATATTTATATTTCATAACTCTCCTCAGAATTAATAACTCAGAAGCATATTTATTATTCCATGTCAATTCTGAAATATGTAGCAACCAGGAGAGAACTGTGACATTTATTGACTGTCAATGTTTTCAAGTATTATCTAGCACTTCAGGGCAGCCTTTATTTTCAAGTTGAAGAGAAGACAGCATGGCCTAATAGAAACAGTATTAACTTCAGAAACAAAAATTTCTGTTGGGTTCAAATCTGGTTTCATTACTTGCTTTTATGAACCTGAACAAAATAACTTTCCCTGCTCACGGAGTTTTTGTGATTCTCAAGGACAATAGTTTATAAGGGTTGTTGGCTTGGGTGTGTAGTGTTGTAAGTAAACTTCTTGTGCCAGCTTTTCTGTGTTTAACATTATTTCTATAATGCAAGTATACTAACTTTTAGAGACTTAATGGATAAAATAAAGAAGTATTTCAATATTGAAATGTATTCAAAATGCACAATGACTGCAAGAATGTAGTTATAAATAAACCAGGCCCACCATGCTGATAATTTTTCAAATAGATCTACATGATTAACTCAATCTAATGTTACAAACATTTACAGTAGTATATATATTATCAACTCATTCAACAAACATGTTTAACCAATGAACAATGTAATCAAATACGTTTAGTACACTTTAGGAAAACCAGTCTGATACGTGACTAAACAGAATACATATTTGGGCAGCATAATAACTAATATAAGCTGAAATTTATTGAAAGCTTACTATATATAACACGTGTCCCAAAGTTATCACATTTAATCCTGCAACAAGCTTATCAAGCAGTACTATCATCATTCCCACAGTACAAATGGAAAAAATCAGGTAGACAATCAAACAGATATGCACACATCAAACCTAGAAATAAAGTTTAAGAAAGTTGCCTAAAGTGACCAGGATAACAGAGGGAGATGAAATCAACCATTATAAAAGTGGTAGTAGAAGAATTTGCACACAGGGTAGGTAGATCTAGAGTCACTCTTAACCATTGCATAAATATCACAGAGGCAGCCCCCATCCGTAAAGCCTACAATAGTCTCAATTATATATTTTTAGGAATTACTTCTTAGTAAATATCTTATTCATAAGAGCAGCTAAGATTACCAGTAACTCAATCTGAAAAAGTCATTTTTTTCACAGTGTCTTAACAACCTAAAAATCCAATGAAAGTTGTTCACAACTAGTTTTAGGTAAAGATGGTGATGTATAATCTGTCTAACTTGTCCTTTCACTCCATCCCTATTTTCTCACTGAAAATTTCAATATATATATATATACATATATCGGAACAAATGTAAAAGTTTGAAGTGTCTTGAACTAGCAATACTTTTCTGTGGATACCCGTGTATATGGATGAGAAATAACGATGGCCCTAAGACATGATGAAACCTGCAAGTGATTTCTATCTTCCTCGGCTGTAGACCGTAACTCAGGTTCATGTTAGATTTACTGTGCTGAGGAGCTGCTCTGTGGGGTGATCAGGGTTGCTTCAAGATCATCTCTCTAATTAGTTACCTTTTCATCTGAGACTACTCCAGATTTTATTCCTCTATAGTGCTGTAGATTAAGAAGCCACATCAGACAGAAAAAATGCACACTGCATATAGAAAGGTGAACTAAATAATTAGAAAGTGTTGGAGAATGGAAGAGCATTAGAGGCTATGCACTTTTGGTTGGTTTGCACACCTTCTGCCAAGAGTAACTGCACAGCTTGCATGAGATTTTCCAAGGATACATTCACCTTAGCATAATTAGAGAACCAGGCAGTGAGAAGAGATACATGATCATCAGCCTTGTGTATTCACTCTGCACATCAGTAGGATTCAGCAGAAGATCTGAGAAAAGGCCTCAAAAGGAATGCAGGTGAAGAGTGAGGGGCAGAAGGAGATGCAGCAGCACTGCTCCTGAGAAGCAGAGGCCTAGACTGACCTCTTCTCATTCAAAGATGAGTGAAGAGAAAAAAATAGCATGAGATTTATGAAAAAATCCCAAAAAACAAAATATAGAGATAACGTATTGAGGATATAGAAGAACATATTTTGGTTAATGATTTAGAAGCAAAAACATAGTACTTTAGAAAGCGTAATATTTAGAAATACACACACACACACACACACACACACACACACACACACACATATATATATATATACACACATAAGTTCAGAGCATGGAATGCAAATGGCTTTTGGCTAGCTGCCTAAAACCTCTCTTGAAAATTCCCAGGAAATCATTGTAAATAACAAAATACAATATCAAATACTATATTTGGCAAGTTACAGACTTACTACTGATGAAATCTGTAGGCATATTTCAAAATTGTAGGCAATTTCAGGGCATTAACAATAATTAAAAGGGAAGTAGTGGTAAATGCATGAGACAAATAAGAAAACATTACTCAACTATAGGGTTTATGCACTGTAGCATCTTCATGGTATGGAGATAGCCAAACAACCAGTATGAGACAGAAAAGTGGTGCTTGTTCAGAAGATGAAATTGATAAAATGGAGGAAACAAAGTAATCAGGCAAAAAAAAAAACAGTAACAAAAAAGAGTTATGTAAGACTATGTCTAAACCAATGAGTAAGTAATCTTTTTGTAGTAATTATAAAACAGTTCTGCAAACAGGACACTAATAATTATAATGTATTAATTTTCAGAAAGCAAAAGATTCAAAATAGATGTTACAGAGCTCTTTATCATGCTAAGATATTTACAGTTTCCATTTTCTTAATTGCAAGAACATTTGTAATCAATGTGAAGAAAAATCAAAGGCACAAAGCATTAGTAATTTTCATATAATATGTTTGCATTTTTAAATATTAGTTAATTCATTAGTAGGAAAACTCATTTAGGAAGTACAATATTAGAATATTCACCTAAGGGTAAATTTACATAGGAGGTAAGTGACAGCTCATTTTCAATTTAATTCATTAAAGTATTCCTCTCTACTCCAAAAGAGATAAATAGACTTTGTCAGAGATTTCTGCCTAAGGTGTTAAACATTGCTCATAGTTCAATGTTTAAATAGTTTAAAAAACAGGATCATCATGGCAGATGGGAGGCCGGACTAGATTGCAGTTCCGGACAGAGTAACGTGCGGAGGCTCGCATTGTGAATTTTAGCTCCAGATCAACTGCAAGAACAAACCAGCAACCCTGAGAGGACCCACAGACCCTCTGAAGGAAGTGGACTGCTTCTGCAGGACCCAGGAGACACCTCAAATATTGTGCATGCCGCAACTGTGGAAGTGAGAAAGGGGACTATTCCTCTGCTGAGCACACACTCCCACTGGAGAAACTGAAGGCCTGTTTGTGGGAGAAGTTTCCAACCTTACCTGGAGCTGAGTCAATTTAGAGAGCTGAGTGAAATACAGGGGTAGGGGAAGCAGCAGAAAGGCCCTGGGAGCTCACTAGGTCCCCAAGCAGCCCATTCCTGCCTGGCACCACAGGGATCCATCAGGAGGGCAGCCAGAGGAGCAGGGGTTAAAATTCCACAGGGAAGGAAATCTCTAGTTGAATTTTGTAACAACTTGAACAGGCAGAGAAGCCTCCTGGCCAGAACTCAAGGGTGGTTTCAAATCCAGTGTGCAGACTCCACAGGCTGGGGAAGAACTAAGCCCTCTTCTTTCACAGCTGGGAGGCAGGTAGCCTGGGGCAAGTTTTCAAGCCCGTCTTGCCCATGGCCCGGAAACAGAACTTTGGGGGACTGTTGGGGTATAGGGAGGCGTGGTGGGAGTGAGACTGGCCCTTCAGTTTGCGTGGGAGCTGGGTGAGGCCTGTGACTGCCGGCTTACCCCCACTTCTGTGACAACCTGCATGACTCAGCAGAGGCAGCCATAATCCTCGTAGGTACACAACTCCAGTGACCTGGGAATCTCAGCCCTGTCCCCCACAGCAGCTGCAGAAATACCTACTCAAGGAGAGTCTGAGCTCAGACACGCCTAGCCCTGCCCCCATCTGATAGTCTTTCCCTACCCACCCTGATAGCAGAAGACAAAGGGCATAAAATCTTGGGAGTTCTAGGGCCCCGCTCACCACTGGTACCTCTCCATACTACTACAGTTGATGCTGTCTGGAAAGTGCCACCTCCCAGCAGGAGGCCAATGAGCACAAAAATAGAGCATTAAGCCACCAAAGTTAAGAACCCTCACAGAGTCCATTGCAACCCCCCGCCGCCCCCACCACCTCCACCAGAACAGGAACTGGTATCTACAGCTGAGAGAACCATAGACAGTTCACATCTCAGGACTCTGTGCAGATAACCTGCAGTAGCAGCCTGGAGCTGGGTAGACTCGCTGGGTGACTAGACCCAAAAGAGAGACAACAATCACAGCTGTTCAGCTCACAGGAAGCCACATCTATAGGAAAGGGGGAGAGTATTACATCAAGGAAACACCCCATGGGACAAGAGAATCTGAACAACAGCCTTCAGCCCTAGACCTTCCCTTTGACAGAGACTACCCTAATGAAAAGGAACCAGAAAACCAACCCTAGTAATGTGACAAAACCAGGATCTTTAACACCCCCACAAGCACACTAGTTCACCAGAAATGAATCCAAACCAAGAAGAAATCCCTGATAGAACTGGGATAGAAAAAGAATTCAGGAGGTTATTTATTAAGCTAATCGGGGGGGCACCAGAGAAAGGCAAAGCCCAATGCAAGGAAATACAAAAAATGATACAAGAAGTGAAGGGAGAAAAATTCAAGGAAATAGATAGCTTAAAGAAAAAACAATGAAAAATTCAGGAAATTTTGGAGACACTTTTAGAAATGTGAAATGCTCTCGAGAGTCTCAGCTACAGAATTGAACAAGTAGAAGAAAGAAATTCAGGCCGGGCGCGGTGGCTCACGCCTGTAATCCCAGCACTTTGGGAGGCCGAGGCGGGCGGATCACGAGGTCAGGAGATCGAGACCATCCCGGCTAAAACGGTGAAACCCCGTCTCTACTAAAAATACAAAAAATTAGCCGGGCGTAGTGGCGGGCGCCTGTAGTCCCAGCTACTTGGGAGGCTGAGGCAGGAGAATGGCGTGAACCCGGGAGGCGGAGCTTGCAGTGAGCCGAGATCCCGCCACTGCACTCCAGCCTGGGCGACAGAGCGAGACTCCGTCTCAAAAAAAAAAAAAAAAAAAAAAAAAAAAAAAAAAAAGAAATTCAGAGCTCAAAGACAAAGTCTTGGAAATAACCGAATCAAATGAAGACAAAGAAAAAAGAATAAGAAAATATGAACAAATCCTCCAAGAAGTCTGGGATTATGTTAAATGACTAAACCTAAGAATAATTGGTGTTCCTGAGGTAAAAGATAATTCTAAAAGCTTGAAAAACATATTTGGGAGAATAATCAAGGAAAACTTCCCTGACCTTGCTAAAGACCTAGACATCCAAATTCAAGAAGCACAAAGAACACCTGGGAAATTCATCGCAAAAAGATCATCACCTAGGCACATTGTCATCAGGTTATTCAAAATTAAGACAAAGGAAATAATCTTAAGAGCTGTGAGACAGAAGCACCAGGTAACCTATAAAGGAAAATCTATCAGATTAACAGCAGATTTCTCAGCAAAAACCCCACAAGCCAGAAGGGATTGGGGCCCTATCTTCAGCCTCAAACATAACAATTATCAGCTAATAATTTTGTATCCAGAGAAGCTAAGCATCATATATGAAGGAAAGATACAGATTTTTTCAGTCAAATAAATACTGAGATAATTCACCATTCCCAAGCCACCAATAAAAGAATTGCTAAAAGGAGCTCTAAATCTTGAAACAAATCCTGGAAACACATCAATACAGAACTTTTAAAGCATAAATTACTCAGGACCTATAAAACAAAAATACAAATTAAAAAGCAAAAACAAAACAAAACAAAAAAACAAAGTACACAGGCAATAAAGAGCACAATGAATGCAACAGTACCTCATGTGTCAATACTAACATTGAATGTAAATGGCCTAAATGTTACACTTAAAAGATACAGGACCACAGAATGGATAAGAACTCACCTACAAACTATCTGCTGTCTTCAGGAGACTCACCTAACACATAAGGACTCACATAAACTTAAAGTAAAGGGGTGGGAAAAGGCATTTCATGCAAATGAACACCAAAAGCGAGCAGGAGTAGCTGTTCTTATATCAGACAAAACAAACTGTAAAGCAACAGCAGTTAAAAAAGACAAAGAGGGACATTATACAATGCTAAAAAACCTTGTCCAACAGGAAAATATCACAATCCTAAACATATGCACCTAATATTCACACTCCCAAACTCATAAACAATCACTAATACACATAAGAAATGAGATAGACAGCAACACAATAATAGTGGGGGACTTCAATACTCCACTGATAGCACTAGACAGGTCATCAAGACAAAGTCAACAAAGAAACAATAGATTTAAACTATGCCTTGGAACAGAACATTTCACCCAACAACCACAGAATATACTTTCTATTCAACAGCACATGGAACTTTCTCCCTGATAGACCATGTGATAGGCCACCAAACAAGTCTCAATAAATTTAAGAAAATTGAAATTATCAGACCAGTTCTAGGAGCTTTCTGGAGCAGTGTCTCAGACCACAGTGGAATAAAACTGGACATCAATTCCAAAAGGAACATTCAAAACCATGCAAATACATGGAAATTAAATAATCTGTTTCTGGAGGAATATTGGGTCAAAAACAAAATCAAAAAGAAAATTAAAAAATTCTTCAAACTGAATGACAATAATGACACAACCTACCAAAACCTTTCGGATACAGTAAAGGCAGTGCTAAGAGGAAAGTTCATAGCACTAAACGCTTACATCAAGAAAACTGAAAGAGAACAAACGAACATTCTAAGGTCACACATCAAGGAACTAGAGAAACAAGAACAAACCAAACCCAAACCCAGCAGAAGAAAGGAAATAACTAAGATCAGAGCAGAGCTAAATGAAATTGAAACAAACAAACAAACAAAAACTACAAAGATAAATAAAACAAAAAGCTGGCTCTTCAAAAACATAAATAAAATTGATAGTCCATTAGCAAGATTAACCCAGAAAAGAAGAGACAAAATCCAAATAACCTCAATAAGAAATGAAACAGGAGATATCACAACTGACACTACTGAAATAAAAAAGATCATTCAAGGCTACTATGAACACCTTTACACACATAAACTAGAAAACCTAGAAGAGATGCGTAAATTCCTGGAAAAATACAACCCTCCTATTCAGATACCCTGAACAGACCAATAACAAGCAGTCAGATTGAAATGGTAATTTAAAAATTACCCAGGAAAAAAAGTCCAGGACCAGCCTGATTCACAGCAGAATTGTACCAGACATTCAAAGAATTGGTGCTAATCCTTTTGACACTATTCCACAAGATAGAGAAAGAAGGAACCCTCCCTAATTCATTCTACAAAGCCACCATCACCCTAATTCCAAAACCAGGGAAGGGCATAACCAAGAAAGAAAACTACAGACCAATATCCTTGATGAATAGATGCTAAAATCCTTAACAAAATACTAGCTAACTGAATCCAACAACATTTCAGAAAGATAACCCACCATAATCAAGTGGGTTTCATACCAGGGATGCAGGGATGGTTTAACATACACAAGTCAGTAAATGTGATATGCCACATAAGAAGAATTAAAAACAAAAACCATTTGATCACCTCAATAGATGCAGAAAAAGAATTTTCAGCATCCCTTTATGATTAAAACTCTCAGCAAAATTGGCATACAAAGAACATCCCTTAATGTAATAAAATCCATCTAGGACAAACCCACAGCCAACATAATACTGAATGGGGAAAAGTTGAAAGCATTTTCCCTGAGAAATGGAACAAGACAAGGATGCCCACTCTCACCACTACTCTTCAACATAGTATTGGAAGTCCTAGCTAGGGCAATCAGACAAGAGAAGGAAATGAAGGGCATCCAAATCGGTAAAAAGGAAGTCAAACTGTCACTGTTTGCTGATGATATGATCGTTTACCTTGAAAACCCTAAAGACTCCTCCAGAAAGCTCCTAAAATTGATAAAAGAATTCAGCAAAGTTTCCAGATACAAGGTTAATGTACACAAATCAGTAACTCTTCTATACACCAACAGCGACCAATCGGATAATCAAATCAAGAACTCAACCCCTTTTACAATAGATGCAAAAAAACCCAAAACACTTAGGAATATACCTAACCAAAGAGTCAAAAGACCTCTACAAGACCTCTACAAAACACTGCTAAAATAAATCATAGATGACACAAAGAAATGGAAACACATCCATGCTCATGGATGGGTAGAATCAATATTGTGAAAATGACCACACTGCCAAAAGCAATCTACAAATTCAATGCAATCCCCATCAAAATGCCACCATCATTCTTCATAGAATTAGAAGAAAACAATTTTAAAATGTATATGTAACCAAAAAAAAGCTTGCATGGCCAAAGCAAGACTAAGCAAAAAGAACAAATCTGAAGGCATCGCACTACCTGATTTCAAACTATAAGGACATGGTCATCAAAACAGTTTGTTACTGGTATAAAAATAGGCACATAGACAAGTGGAACAGAATAGAGAATTCAGAAATAAAGCCAAATACTTACAGCCAACTGATCTTTGACAAAGCAAACAAAAACATAAAGTGGGGAAAGGACACCGTTTTCAACAAATGGTGCTGGGATAATTGGCTACCCACATGTAGGAAATGAAACTGGATCCTCATCTCTCACCTAATCCAAAAATCAACTCAAGATGGATTAAGGAGTTAAACCTAAGATCTGAAACTATAAAAATTCTAGAAGATAACATTGGAAAAACCTTTCTAGACATTTGCTTAGGAAGGATTTCATGACCAAAACCCCAAAAGCAAATGCAATAAAAACAAAGATAAATAGACGGGACCTAATTAAACTAAAGTGCTTTTGCATGTCAAAAAGAACAGTCAGCAGAGTAAACAGACAACCCACAGAGTGGGCGAAAATCTTCACCATCTATACATCTGACAAAAGACTAATATCCAGAATCTACAACAAACTCAAACAAATCAGTAAGAAAAAAACAAACGGTCCCATCAAAAAGTGGGCTAAGACAGGAATAGACAATTCTCAAAAGAAGTTATACAAATGGCCAACAAACATATGAAAAAACGCTCAACATCACAGATGATCATGGAAATGCAAATCAAAACCACAATGCAATACCAACTTACTCCTGTAAGAATTGCCATAATCAAAAAAATCAAAAAACAGTAGATGCTGGTATGGATGCAGTGATCAGGGAACACTTCTACACTGCTAATTGAATATAAATTAGTACAACCACGATGATAAACAGTGTGGAGATTCCTTAAGGAACTAAAAGTAGAACTGTCATTTGATCCAGCAATCCCACTACTGGGTATCTACCCAGAGGAAAAAAAGTCATTATTTGAAAAAGAAACTTGCACATGCATGTTTATAGCAGCTTAAGTCACAGTTGCAAAATCGTGGAACCAACCCAAATGCCAATCAATCAAGTGGATAAAGAAACTGTGATATACATATATAAAAATATATTTTTATATAATATATATTTTATATTTATATATAAATATATATTTGATGGAATACTACTCAGCCATAAAAAGGAATAAATTAACAGCATTTGCAGTGACCTGGATGAGATTGCAGATTATTATTCTAAGTGAAGTAACTCAGGAATGGAAAAGCAAACATCATATATTCTCACTCATAAGTGGAAGCTAAACTATGAGGACACAAAGGCATAAGAATGAGATAATCAACTTTGGGGACTTGGGGAGAAATGTTGTGGCGGGGGCAAGGGATAAAAGACTACAAATAAGGTGCAGTGTATACTGCTTGGGTGATGGGTGCACCAAAGTCTCACAGGTCACCACTAAAGAACTTATTCATGTAATGAAATACTACCTGTACCCCAATAACTTATGGAAGGAAGGAAGGAAGGAAGGAAGGAAGGAAGGAAGGAAGGAAGGAAGGAAGGAAGGGAGGGAGGGAGGGAGGGAGGGAGGGAGGGAGGGAGGGAGGGAGGGAGGGAGGGAGGAACTGTTTGTTTCAATTGGTGTTTTACAATTTTCAACTTTTTGTCCAGATTAGCAGACTTGCCGTCATTGTCCATAAGCAAATCGCTTTTTTGAAATTCTTTAAAAACGCGTTCAGCTAAATACCAATAGTTGCCAAGCAATCTGGACAGGGTACTCTTTCAGGACCAAGGACTGCTGAGAATCACCTTGTGAATACCCAGTGCTAAACCTACTTGTTCCCACATCTTTGCTATTCTTGCCAAGAATACCCTTGATACTCTTGCTATCCTGGATGTGTGAGCCCATCTAATTAGCTAACATCTCTGGGTAAAGACTGAATCCTTCAACATTATTGACTGGCTCAAATGAGGTTATTCCAGATAGCTCTTTTTCATCATACCTGAGGCACCATCCCTTCTAACTTGTCCTTATTTCTTTGTTCTGTCCACCTCTTGTACATCCCAGGTTTCTTGTGTGTTTTCATAGTGGAACAATCTTAATGAACAACTTCTTTTTCTGGCTAACTCCTTTTTATTCTGTGGGTCTCACCTTAAATGTTACTTCTGCTGGGAAATCTTTCATAAACTGCAAAGTCTAAGTTTGGTAGCTCTCCTGTGAGTTTCTTTATCCTTTCCCATAACATCACTTATCAAGCACGCTGTGTAGGATAATACAGTGTGCCTTCTCATTAGATTTTAAATGTTCCTCATGGGCCATTGTATGGTCTGTGTCTATCAGATGACTGGGCATACAGTCAGCATACATGCCAGAGGGATAAAAAGGAAAGGAAAAGAAAAGAAAAAGCAGGGAAGGAGAAAGGGGAGAGAAAAGAAGAGAAGGGAGGGAAAGAAAAAAATGTGGCTAAAACCTTAGGTGATTTTTGTTTCTAATACTGTAAATAGCACTATAATTGTATTGAAAGCCAAAATAGCTGCATTTTTGTCAAAGCATCATAACCAAGTAAACTCTATTTTATTTCCTCCATGAGGTCATTCTAAATTAAGAATACAATAAAGAGTATGTTCACAAATCAGAATTCTACCCTGTTTGGGTGTTAGCTACTGAAGTAAGCAATACTACAATTGCTTCTTTAGACTTCAGTATATAATTATCCACTCAGATTCCTATGTCCTTCAAATTAAAGCTGCTTATCCAATTTGCCACCGATCTGTTTATTCAACAAATACTTCATATGTGCTTATTCTGTGGTAAACATCATGCTACTTTCTGTAGCAAATAGTTTCTCATTTATTTCTCAAACCAATCGTTTAATGCAAATGATGTCATTATCATCATTTTATCCGATGAGAAAATTGTGGCACAACAATTATATAATTTGCCACCCCAAACAGCCAGTGCTTGTAATCTTTGACACTGTTCTAATACAGTTACTCATTTTGTCAAAAGTTAAATAATAACAATAAGAATAATAATCTCTCAGCAAACTAGGGATACAAGAGAATTCCCTCAACCTGTGAAAGGGTTAAAATATCTACTGCTTTACATCCTATGTAATGATGAAGGACCGAATATTTTCCTCCAAGATGGAGAGTAATACAGGGATGTCAGGTCTTACCACTTCTATTCAACATTATAGTGGAAATTCTAGCCACTGCAATCATTTTTTAATTGGGAGTGGGGAGAAGGAAGGAGAAAAGAAGGAAAAAAGGAGAAAAATAAAAGCCATAAAGATTAAAAAGAAAAAAAATTATAAGCAATAAGTTTTTAGAATTCACATGCTAATCTCTCTCACTCTGTTTTCTCACCTAACACTCCTCCGTCTTTCTATATCTTCAGTCTCATGTGGATATAAAGCTCACTGCATGGGAAAGAAATATGTAAAATATGGTAGTTGCCTTAATGACCATTCATAATCTATGTAAGAAATATATTTGATTGTAAAACAAAACCACTAAATTCATCACATTTATTGTGCCCCTACTAAGATGACTGCATATTTATTTCAGGTTCCAAAACTGAATAGACCTAAAATAAAAGGCAGATCATGGCAAATTGCTTTAAAGAAAAACACTATGTAATGAGAGCAAACAGGAGTAACTCCCAATGTTATTGGAGAAAAACTTGAAAAGTGCTGTAACATCTGAGATGGTACCTGATTCTGCCTCCCCAAACATTGGCTTGCTCTCTCAGTTCACCTACCTGCCATGTAGGGGACCCAGAGACAATTCTGAATGGCCTTCCATTTCACTTAGGAGCTGTGATGGCTGCAGTTAGCCTCTGGCCTTCTCACATTTAAACAGCCGCTCACTCCACCATTGCTACTCCACCACACATTTCATGTCTCTAGGATCTTCTTTCAGAGGTCATGAGTTTCCTCAAAGGCATAAACTAGGAGAGAGAAAAGAGGCCCCTATCCCCTAAGATTCCAGATTTTTAGTGGATTACCTACACTGACAACCCTTCCTGGCCAGGTGGTCTGCAGGGCATGAGGGAGCAAGCTGATCACATCTCACTCACTTTATTTATTTCCCATTTCTTCCAAAAATTCTCACTCTTTTGGAAGATTACACAATTCTCATGTGGGGGCAGATGGGAGGGAGGCTGGGAGGAGAGGTTGAAAAAGTGGGAGGTCAGAAATACCTAGTTTTGTGACTACGAAATAAAAATTTGGGGCCTTGTGCTTAAAGCCCAGGCTCTTCTTTATAGAAACAAAAGCTTTTGTGCTGTTATTCTCCAACACTGATCTGATAGCTCCTTCCTAAAATAGTGACAGCCTGAGTATAGGTGGTTGATAGGGGTGGGGAAAGGAGCAGAAAATGTTGACTACTATCTCAAATTATTTTTCTGCTCTGTAACATGTGATCGATATGACCATATAACATAAAAAAATCAAAAGAAAAAAAGTCCTGCAGCCCGATTGCTGGTTAATATTTGGTCACTATTCATTTAGAATCCATTGATTGAATAAGTACACTGAATTGATAACAAATACGTGGCTATCATATTATTTTGGGCTTGGGTGTTTAAAAAAATCTGTCCTAAGCAAAATACCAGGATTAAACCCAGGTTCTCTAAAAGTGTCCTGCAGGGAAATAAGACAATGAGAAATCGGCCTCTTGTTTTGATTCATCAGCCTTGGCAAAATTGGAACAATGGAAATTACCTACAGAGAATCAAGGAGAAGGAGCATCATGAAAGGTCCAGCTCCCAGTGTGTTCTGGGCCACTGCAGTGGACATCTTTACTTGGTAAAATCCTGCTTTGAGACCAGTTTATGCAGTGCTCTATTCAAATTTAATCTCAGCACCTATAGTTAGGAGGCCAGTAAAGGGACTTTTAAAATTCCTGGATGGGTGCAATGGCTCACACATGTAATCCTAGTACTTTGGGAGGCCAAGGCGGGCAGATCGCTTGAGCCCAGGAGTTCAAGACCAGGCTGGGCAACATGGCAAAAATCTTACCTCTAAAAAAAATCAAAAAATTAGCCGGACATGGTGGCAGGTGCCCATAGTTCTAGCTACTTAGGAGGCTAAGGTGGGAGGAGCAGCTGAGCCCAGAATGTCAAGGCTTCAGTGAGTTGTGATCGTGCCACTGCACTCCAGCCTGGGTGACAGAGTGAGACCCTGTCTCTAAATAATCATAGTAATAAATAATAATAAAATAAAATTCCTAAGCACATTGTTTTTCAGAGAAATATATAGACTGCAAATTATTCTGCCTTGAAGCCAGGAATAAGGAAGAAAGAAATGAGGACACATAGTTTTGCCACTTAAAAAAAAAAATCGTCTCTGTGTCAGCATTTCCCATTAAATAGTGCTCTTTTCTTTATTTAAGAATCTCACATTAAGTCTCTATCTCTATTTGCCCTGTCAATGAATAATAGAGTGTGAGTGCTTGCCCATAAGCCATATTCATCAGTGCAGAAGTCAAAGAGAATTGAAAAATATGTGTTAAAATAAAAACAACAATAACAGTTATACTACCTCAAAGAAAAATCTGTCACTCACCATCATTTATGGAGTAGATCGGCATTAGAGAGGCTGTGCCCTTACTTTACCATATAAACAAATAAAAGAAAAATGAAAATAAAGCACAGTGCAGAGCAGTACATACTAAATCTCTAATTGCTTTCCTGCCACCCATTTGTTTATAATGTGCTGAGTACATCGATGGGATAATAACTGAAGAGCATGAGAAATGTTTGAAATGCGTACAAAGAGTGCAGATCCACTGCCAGTATAAAATAATCACCTCATGGCTCAGCTAGTGTTTCCGCTTTTAATCGAGGCAATAGATTTCCCATTATGGGCTTCTCTTCTGAGGTTGGCCTTTATTTTTATTGAAGAAGAAACACCCACCAAACATTTTTGCATTAAGCTTTTTTATTTTAAACTAGTTTTTCTATGTGAGTGCTCATTCTGATAAACCTAAACCTTTCTGACATTTTTTCTGTCTTAGAGAACATATTTTGCCCATAGCATGAGGCACTTGCTCCATGGCATGCATTGGAAATGTAGCTTAGCCAGGAGAAACCAAGGAGAGACAGAGCTGGGCAACATGGTGCCCTGCCTCATCTCCCCTCACACTACACAATTCTAGGCCTGATTTTTCTATTGTAGCTTAGGGTCATAGAAAATTATTTCTCAGCTGCCATTCAAACTGGAAAACATCTGCACCAGCAGCTTTGTGATTCTCTGAGGATGTGTAAGATCTCAGAGGCAATTGGTGGGAGCTCTTTTCTTCTTCAGATCTCCACATACACTATTGGTGTACAGGATCAAAAAGGCAGATTAGGGTAATTTACATCTTATGCATTGTACACATGTATCAAAACATCACACTGTACCCTATAAACATATACAATTATTGTATGTCTATTGAAAACAAAATAAAACTTTTTTAAAAGTCAGATTGTTTTGCCTTCTCACATTATAGAAAGATGTAAGATTTACTTTTTCTTTCATCACGTCAGAAATGAAGAGCTGTTATAGAAACATTAAAAATACACTAAACAGGCTTGCAAGCCAATATGCCAGATTGAACACATATTTTTAACAACTAACTCCAATACACTGAAATAAAATCAAGAACTTAGATACATAACATAATTAAGTTAAAAGGAAAATAAGTATAAATTAAAGGAGAAATCAAAGGGAAAACAAAGGAAATCAATAACTTCAGGTGAAAAAATAACTGAAGAAGAGTACAAAAAGAGTCATTGTCCAATGTTGAAACAAAATCAAACGTGGCATGAAACCTGGAAATAAGAGGGAGAAATGATTAAACATAGCAACTCTCAACTACAAACTAATCAAAAAGAAATTTATATGGGAGCTTAAGTTCAGGAATGAGAGACACACTTTTAAAATTCATGTCTTATACATGCAAAGGGAACACTAATCTTAGATGTGGTCCTGAAAAGGACTATTGGAGATTAACTCTTGCACTGTTATATATATAGTTTTTAAGACCTGGGAAATAAAACTTGACAAGGAGAGAATGATCATACTAGCCACTCATACCTGAGTCCATAAACAGTCTGAATCCCAAGAAGAGACTGGGCACCTATCAATTGCTGGGGAAATTCTCTCACCTCACACAGAGAAGTGGAGACTAAGTAGGTAGAAAAGAAAAAGAGCTAAAGGATGAAAGCATTGTGATGATGGGAGAATAAGAGTAACATGAAATAGTATTTTGGTATGCTCTACCACCTCTAGGGGAACATTTACATGAAGAAAATCCCACTAATATGGGGTAATATAGTCAATGAAGTCTTGAACTCATACACAGTGCCTGGGAACAAGATAGTTTGTTAGTTAGAAATGATGCACGGTGCTCAGTTTATTAATCCTGATCCCTCTCTTCCAAAAATGTTCATAGAACTGTTTATGATTTCTGAAAGCAGGAAATATGGTAAGCCTTCTTAGAAAAGATGTCAGTTGAAATTCATTCATGCAGGGTTAAAATGTGTAACTATAACATATGTGTACATACATATGTATACATGTGTGTATACACATGCACATGATTTTGGAAAGGAATGGGCACATGTTTTTTGGAAAGGCACAAAGGCAAGATGACATGATTAATATAATTTCTTACTGAAGTTTACAAGAGAGTAACAGTAGAGTATGCTAGGAAATTACACAAGGGTTAAAGGAATGATTTTATGTGCTATGCTAAAGACTTTGCATATTAATTTATAGGAAAATAAATTGTTAAATATGTATAAAGTAGGATTTTAGTAACCTCAGTCTTTTAAAGCTATGATCTATTATAAAAAACACTTCATATCTCCCTCGATATTTTTATTTGATAAAATAAATATTGTGAGTCAGAAAAGAAACCAATACTAAATAATCTTTTCTAAACAATCACAATTTTTTTATAGACACAGATACAGACACAGACACACACACACGCACACACAGAGAGTGTCTGATATGCTTTCCCAAAAGTCATTTATTTTCCCCAAATATGTTTTAGAAATACTAAACTAAAGAATGAATCATAAAGGAAAAGGTAATGCTGGAGAAGTACAAGGAGAAAATTGCACTAGTTACTTTGGTTTCAAAAAACAGGAATTCACTCAGACTAAATTTTTAACACACATTCCTAAATGAACATATTTCTGGGAATGACAAAAGTTAAGAAATATCCATGCTATTATATCAAAAGCAAAACATTAGAAAAATGCTACCTAAACTTATCTTCTCTTGATTCCAAATGAATTCTATTTTATAATACCTGCAGTTTTAGTTCAAAATTGTTATTAACTTTTGCATTAAAAATAATTATAGTTAACACTTATTGAGTGCTTATCATTTGCAAGGAATTGTTCTAACCACTTGACAAGTACTAATTTACTTAATGCTCATAATACTCTTATGAGGTGAATACATTTATTTTTCCCATTTTACAAATAAAGACATTGAGCCAGAAAGAAGTTAAGAAATATGTCCAAGGTCACATAGATAATTAGTAGGAAAGTTTGAATTCCAGTTATCAGTCTGGCTGGGTTTCCATGCTCTTTAACACAATACTTTAATACTTAATATTCTATACTCATAAGTTTGTTAATATTTTGCAAATAACTATGGTTCCCAATTACCTCTTTTAGATTCATGTTGTCTTCTCCTTACTGTACATATTCTCTAGGGATTATTTCAGAGGTTCTATGCATAATAAATTTCCTGAATCCATCCACACATAGACTTCTATATATGAAAATACTTCTATTTTCCCAGACAATGGATATAATTTGACTAAGCATAGAATCCTAGGTCCCAAATTGTCAGAAATTTTATATAATTTTCTATATCCCCCTTAAGATAGTATTTTTTTATTTTTATTGTTTTTTAGCGTTTGAAGTTATGGTGATTCTTGTTCTTTTGTCGGGGGTCTGATATTTCTTCTAAAGAATGTTTTGAATTTTCTCTATATTCTTGGTGACCTGAAATTTCACTATGTTAGTTTGGATGTGTGTGTGTGTACGTCTTTATGTGCATTTTATCTTCATGTTATTTTTTTTATTTTATGAGATTGATTTTGTACTTTGAAACATACTTCCTGTGTTCTGAAAAAATTCTTCAATTTGATCATACAATCACAAATTCATTCCCCCTTCTA
Organism: Homo sapiens; assembly: GCF_000001405.40. Taxonomy (NCBI): domain Eukaryota; kingdom Metazoa; phylum Chordata; class Mammalia; order Primates; family Hominidae; genus Homo; species Homo sapiens. The sequence goes on from NC_000006.12 coordinate 103,748,115, forward strand.
TTCCTATTTGCATTTCAGCTCATATTTTAAGATTTTTTTCTGCTTGTTTGTTTACTTTTATTGGTGATTTCATTTACATAATGTGTCTATTTTTATCAGTGCAATATAGTATTCTGTATATGACAGTACTGACAATACTTATTATACTTATTCTAAATTTCTTTTTTTGTTCCATTACCTATGGTTTCCTCTATTTTAGTTTGGTGTTAAGACTTCTGTATTTTTGATATGGGAGCGGGGCAGGGAAGTGCTGGGTAGAAAAGGGCAGGGTCCCTGGTAAGGGCTCCACCCTCCAGCCTGTGCTGGTGGACCTAAGTGAGAACATGCGGTCCTGTTTTCACATCTGAATGTTGCATTTTCCAAGACCGCTCTGGCCCACCACGAACCCCATCCTGTGCCCACATAAATCTAAGACTTTAGCAGGCACACACACAGTGGCTGATCGTCAAGAGGAACAAAGTGGTAGAAAATGGCAGAGAGTGGCAGAGGGCAGCAGGGTGGCATTAGAGAAGGAAGGAAGAAGTGTCTGAACTTCCAGAGGAGTGCCTCCGAGAACAGCCAAACCCTAGGTAAAGATTTGATCCTCCTACCCTCCATCTTCCCACTCCAGCTCCCCATCCCTCTGAAAGCTGCCCCCACTGCTCAGTAAAGTCTCTGCATTCATCACCTTTCAAACAGTTCATGTGTCCTGATTGGTTCAGGACACCAGAAAAGAACCCAGGACAAGGGGGTTGACACTCAGCTGTCCCCGGACAATAAGGCTGAAAGAGCACACTGTAACACAAGCCTACTTGGGCTCCAGCACCTGTCCATCTGCCTGCTCCCTCAGGGCTTTGAGCTGCTGGGCGACTGAACAGGCAAGCCACACCCCTGTCACATGTCCTGCAAGGGGAATCATGGAACTCTCCCACTTCATTTTTATGGTATTGGATTTCTGCAAATATTTGCTGATTTTGTGTTGTGTATTTATTATTATTTTGGGGTGGTTGATGCAGCTGGGGGTCTGAGGGTAGCATAGCTCCAGAGTATTTACAGTTATCAAGGGTTTACCTATCTCTGTGCCCATGTTCTCAAACTTACTACTCTATGCTGGAGGCAGAAAATGCAGTTGCCTCTGCCTGGTCCAATATGTGAGTATGGGGAGGATCCTCTATATGGAGGCGTTCACCAATCTGACTGGGTTTCCTAAGGTACTTCCATCCCAGTACCCTCTCGGGTGTTTCCGTGACCCCTAATTCCTCCCAGCACTACCAATTACCACTACCAAAAATAGATAGCAACAGCGCTATTGCAGGTGTTGGTCTGTGGTTTCCTTCGTTTACCAATTTCTGCCTCCTTTTCATTTCTCAGGGATGCCCTGGTCTTAGATACTATAAAATATTCTAACATTAAATATTTAACATACCCTAATTCTCTTTTCTCGGAGAGATACTTAAAGAATGTTAATATTACATTGTAAATTAATGCCAAAAAATCTGTATAAGTTTGCAAGTTGACATCATTTTGTGTAAAAGAAATGAAACAGAAAACATGTTTTGATGGCTTTCATGGACACATCTTTGCACTTGTAGAATAAAAATATATAATCATACATGATATTTTTCCTATTTCTTGTAATAAAATGTAGCAAAATTTGAGAGGATGCTAGGACCTATAGCTGCTCTATGTTCGATAGTAACTATGTTGCTCAGACATAAATAATGACAAGGGTTGATTACTCTTCAAAAATCATGTGCCACATTCCACGTTGCTGGCTTCTTCCTCACATGAGGGAAATATGAGAGCTAAAGTGATAGCAGTATTTCCTAGACAAGAGTAAAGGTAAATTATTTATTAGATATTGGATTTATGTGGAAAGTCTACTGTAAAAGTTATTCAATCACATTGGCAAAGTTGTTGCAAGTAATATCTTGAAGGTTCATTTTTGGACCATTCCATTCTGGTTAAGAATAGTTCTGCCAGAGTAATTCATTGTGAAGAAAAGCTCACATAAGATAAATTATCAAAGTTAAAAATAAAATAATTATTGTAATGAATGGCACACAATTATTGCAATAGAAAACAAAACATCTCTAAATATATGACACTCAAAGTTTTACATAATTGAAATTAGAACAAAAAAATAAATCGATGACAGCACCTTAAAAAGAAGACTGGCACTACATGACTAAGCAAGAACACAATTAAAGAAAACTCTTGAGAAGAATAAAACACTCTCCTATTTTACAAACACAAAAAGGCCTGTGAGCTACTAGCTAAGATCCTAAATTCAAAAAGGTCTTCATAAATGTGAAGAGACACACTAAATATCATGATTATCAATGGGGATATTTTGGATTTACCTACACCAAGGTTGTGACTGATATCTAGCGGAAATGTGTAAGAACTTATGATCTTAGTCAAATATTTCTCTGAATCTTGAACCTTGTACCGTATACAATGCATGCCATCTTCAGCGTGCCCTGCCTCCACCCTCCACTCTGGATGTTTAATTACCTTGTGGCATGGAAATTTGGTAACTATATGTATGTGTAAATATAGCAACCACAAAAATACAAAAATATTCTCTCTTCATATGTCTCTCTCTCTGTCTGTCTCCCTCTGACAGCCAAGTATAAAGGGGTCCCCAGAGAACCTACGACCAGCCTGTGCACTGGGAGAATGGGGTGGAGCCATGGGAAGTTCGCATCATTTGCAGCAGGGAGGAGCCTGGCCTCTCCTGTTCCGGGGTGGTAATCTGGGATTGAATCTGTGAGGCAGAAAGACAACTAGCAGGACTCTCGCTTTGCTGAGACTCTCCGTTTCCTTTTTTTTTTTCCTTTTCACCCAATAAACCCTGCCCTATTCACCCTTCAAAGGGTCTGCGAGCCTAATCTTTCCGGGCTGTGTAACAAGGACCCTAAGGAGAAAGTCCTACAACATCTCTCTCTCAATCTCTCTCTCTCTCTCTCTCTCTCTCTCCATCTATCTAAAACAAATCTTGCAGCATCCTAATTTCTCATGCCACAAGATTGCACCAAATATGCATATTCACACATACATACATTTGGTTGCCTAATTTCTCATGTCACAAGATTTTATATATGTATGTATAATATATAATGCATATAAGCAAATACATAAATATACATAAATAATACATACATAGAACTTTTATGGGTTTTGTGATTGGTATGCAGTTGGTAACATAAATATATAAGTAATATTTTCCAAATAAATAAAATGATTACAAGTTTTCAATTACATTAATTTTTTAAAACACTGTTTAATCTTGGTTACACAGCAGTAAACTATAAGGAAGATAAAATAGATTGCTGAATAAAACAATTATATTAGAGCCTTTGATAAAATTCAAGGGCTTGTATACATGTCAGTTGCCTGGTTGTGACACTGAACTATAGTTGTGCAAAATGTTATCATTTCCAGAAGTGGGCGCAGTATACAAATGAGCTCTTTTGGTATTATTTCTTACAATTGTATGTGTATCTATAATTATTTCAATTAAAAATAATAATCAAGGAACACTGGGGAATGAAATGAACTCTCTGATGCCCAGTAAGCTGCTCTCATTCACCATTTCACAACCTGCATCTTCACTATTTCAAACCATTCTATTCTTGCTTTCTCTTCCTACACACCTACCAAAAGTAAAATAAACTGAATTAAACAATTTTTTACATAACTTACCCAGGAAAATTCATTAATCAACCCCTCACCCCCATAGATATTTAGAAAATATTAGCTGAGGGCAGAATTTTCTCAGAAATTCCACTCTCTGTATTTTATATTGCATTTCTGATTACAGTAATGTCATTATTATTGATTTTTTTTTTTTTTTGAGACAGAGTTTCATTCTGTCATCCAGGCTGGAGTGCAATGGCACGATTTCAGCTCACTGTAAACTCTGCCTCCCGGATCAAGCAATTCTTGTGCCTCAGCCTCCCTAGTAGATGTGATTACAGGAATGTGCCACAACGCCCCACTAATTTTTGTGTTTTTAGTAGAGGCGAGGTTTCACCATGTCAGCCATGCTGGTCTCCAACTCCTGACCTCAGGTGATCTGCCCACCTCAGCCTCCCAAAATGCTTTGATTACAGGTGTGAGCCACTGCCCCCAGCCTATTATTATTGATTAATATATCAATTTCTGAGAATCAAAAATTGCTCTAAGTTAGAAATATATTTGGTACCTTTTGTATCAAATCAGACAATAATATTTTAAAAAATGTATTCTACTTAATTTGATGCAAATTTAATGATAAAAGGAAAAGATAAAAAGATTAATATCTTATTTCACCTGGACTTTATATTTTTACTTGTAAAAAATTCCGTTACCAGCAGAGCTTCATTTTATTTCATTGGACATATTAGTGTTATGAATAGACATTAATTTCAAAAACTGAGTATAAGCAGTTGAATTATTATCCACATTTGTTTGCATTTATTATTTCAAGTGCAACATCACAGCAGAAAATCAGGTGATTTCACACACCATTTCAAATCACCAAAAATAATCATGCATATATTTGAGCATTTTATTACCCTATTTCATAGTGAAATATAAAGAATATATTTTTTCTTGGGTTTAAGTTTTTCTCTACTCATTTGATTAACAAAATCAACTGTATATAGCCCATTCAATGCTCCATTTCCTTCTGCAAAATTTCAAACACAAAATCACAAGATATGTCATTACAAAGACTACCAGCAGAATTAAATGTGACATACAAAACATTACATCATTTTCCTGTTACCCTTTCAAAAAGAACATGTTGGATTGAGCTAATTTTAGGTTTCAGATGAAATGTAATCACATCATTTCACTCTCACCTAGGGAAGTAAAAAAATTAAACTTCATGCATTAGGCTATAACCTTAAGATTATGAAATGATCTCTTTTCTTTAATTCACTGGCAATATAATAGTTACATCACTTTAGAAGAGATTAGAATTTCAACACAAGATCCACGGAGAATTTTAATTTCCCTGACTGGTCTCCTGCTAGTTTTAAACAGATAACTATCAATTCTTTATAAAATGTAGTAGAGTTACATTAACTAGATAACTTCAGGTCTGAAAAGCAAAACTGGTATAATTCATCTGGTAGCCTAACCAAGCTTTATATATTTGAGTTAAAAATGTAATTTACAAAAAATTAATTAACAAATAACTTGTTGTGCATTAAATATGTTTCAGACACTATTCAGCATCAACAGTGAACTCAGTAATAAGAAAACAAGTGTCTGATTTTAAGGATTTCTGTTCTACTAGGATTACAAAGAACTATTGGGCAATTATAATTGAATATAGAAGTGTGACAACTAGAGTAATTATTTGGAGATACAGGCTTACAAATAAAATAAGAATGTATCTAGTTCAATATTGGGAGGCATGGAAAGCCTTCCAAAAATGTCATGTCTAAGTCAAAACTATAAACTAATTTCTGCTAATGGTTTGCACTTTATCTTGAAGACAAATGGTGTCTATTGACTACATTTAATGACGGCAGAGTTAAACCAGATTTGTATTTTTAAAAGATCCTTCAGGCCGGGTGCAGTGGCTCACGCCTGTAATCCCAGCACTTTGGGAGGCTGGGGTGGGCAGATCACCTGAGGTCGAGAGTTCAAGACCAGCCATGACCAACATGGAGAAACCCTGTCTCTACTAAAAATACAAAATTAGCCAGGCTTGCTGGTGCATGCCTGTAATCCCAGCTACTCAGGAGGCTGAGCGGGAGAATCAAGAATCGCTTGAACCTGGAAGGCGGAGGTTGCGCTGAGCCGAAATTGTGCCATTGCACTCCAGTCTGGGCAACAAGAGCGAAACTCTGCTCAAAAAAAAAAAAAAAAAAAAAAAAAAAAAATCTTTCAAGCTGAAGTACAGACAATGGATAGAGGAAGGGCAGCTGGAAAGATATACAAAAAGCTTATATAAAGTCTCAGCCCAGTGACTAATTCTTACAGCATTGCTAGATCAAAAGTACCACAGGTTAGATTTGGATCCAGAGATTGAGACTCTGCTTACCAGAGCGCCTCATGACAGCTAGCGACCAACCTAGCTATCTACACAGTGGCATTTTGACTTACCACTTATTTTTATTCTGCATGAGTAGAACACCATCAGTAGCCACCCAGAGTTCTGGCAAAATGAAAGGCCAAGCATGTATGTATCCTCTTGACTTAATACTATATAGATGCATCAAACCCTCACTATGATTGTGAAATTTTAACAAGATTCACTTGCTTTGATTCAGGTTTGAAATAAGCCCTATGATGGTTCCCCACTTTCAAACTACTCCACTGGCTCAGTTTATATAATATACGATCATTTTTTTCCTTGTTCTTCTGATTTTAATCATCCTTTATATTGAAGGCTCAAATCATCTGCCCTCCTCAGCATCCCAAAGACCTGGGATTACAGGTGTGAGCCACTGCACAAAGCCAGGCATATAACTTTTAATTTTGACATATATTCAAGAGACAAACAGATAAAAATTAACAATAACAGCATAAAGTTGATTGTTCTGCAAGACACTTTATATAAGCCCCATGGTAACTATAAGAAAATATGTATAGAAGATATATAAAAGAAAATTAGAAAGGAATCAAAGCATGTTACTACAAATAATAAAGGAAATACAAAGAAAGACAGCAAAAAATGAAAAGAAGGATAAGGAAGATACCAAACAGAAAACAGGTAACAAAATGGTAATAGTAAGCCCTTCCCTATCAGTAATTAAATCCAAATGAATAAGACTGCCCAATCAAAATACATACTGTGGCTGAAAGGATTTTTTTTTAAAAGATCCAACTATGAGCTTTTTATAGGAACTCATTTTAGATTTAAGAACACACATAGTCTGAAAAAGAAAAGATTTTTTAAACTCCATAAAAATGATAACCAAGAGAGCAGTAGTAGCCACATTTATATCAGACAAAATAGATATTAAATTAAAAACTATCACAAGACAAAAAAGACCATTATATAAATAATAAATGAGTCAATACAGAGAAATATAACATTTATAAACACATATACACACCCATCAGAGAACCCAAATATAAAAATAAAATTTTGACAGAACTGAAAGAAGTAGATAATAGCATAACAGTAGAATTTAATACCTCACTTTTAATAATAGATAGAACAATGATACAGAAGATCAATAAGGAAACAGACGGCTTTAACAGCACTGTAACCCAAGTATACCTAGCAAATATATACAGAACATTCCACCCAACAGCATGAGAATACATATACTTCTCAAGCACAAACAGCACATTGCACAGAATAAATCACATTTTTGGGGGAAAAAAGTATACATTTTTAAGGAGATTGAAATCACATCAAATTTTAAATACAATGGAAATAAACTAGGAATTAATAACAGAAGGAAACTGGAAAAATCATGAACATGTGGGAAATAAAATAATCTTAACAATCAATAGGTCAAATAAGAACTCAAAATGGAAATTTAACGATACAACATGGGAAGTTCGTTACCACCAAAACTGCCTTACAAGAAATGCTAAAGGGAGATCTTCATGCTGAAAGAAAAGGATGGTAATGAATAACACAAACACATCTGAAAGTATAAAACTCACTGGTAAAACTAAGTAAACTGTAAAGTTCAGAATACTCTAATACCACAATGGTGTGTACCTCACATATCTGTAGTATAAACGTTAAAAGACAAAACTATTAAGATAATAATAACTATAATAATATGTTATGGGATATGCCAAATAAAAAGATTTAAATTGTAACATCAAAAATTCAAAATGTTGAAGGAGTGAAATTAAATTATACAGGTGTTTTTGGAGGGGTTTTGTGTGTGTGATCAAAGTTAAGTTGTTCTCAGCTACCTATTATAACCATGTTTTTTTGCAAGCTTCAAAGCAAAAACTTGTGGTTGAAAAACAAAAATAAACAACAAGGAATAAAAACATAACTAAAGAAAATTGCATAGCAGCAAAGGCAGACAGCAAGAGAGGAAAAAGAAAGGAACAAAGAATCTACAAAACAACTAGAAAACAATTAATAAAAATGGCAGTAGTAAGTCCTTACTTATCAACAGTTACCTTCAAGGTAAATGGATTAAATTCTCCAGTCAAAAGTCATACAGTGGTTGAATGGATTGATGATATTAATAATAAGATCCAACAATATGCTGCCTACCAAAGAAAAAATCATTGCAACTATGAGTACACACAAAGACCGAAAGTGAAGGAATGGAAAAGATATTGCAGGCAAATGGAAACCAAAATAGAGCACAAGTAGCCATACTTGTATGATAAAAATAGACTTTAAGCCAAAAACTGTAAAAACGGACAAGGAAGATTATTATATAATGATAAAGGGGTCAATTCAGCAAGAAAATGTAACAATTGTAAATCTATTGGCACCCAACACTGGAGCATCTAAATATATTAAGCAAACATTGATAGATCTGAAGGGAGAGACAGACTGCAGTAAAATAACAGTATAGGACTCAAAAACCTTACTTTCAAGAACAGACAGATCATCCAGACAGAAAACCTTGCAACATTATAAATGAACTGCCCTCTAGAACAAAGGGACCTAACAAATATATATAAAATGTTCCTTTCAACAGCTACAAAATACATGTTCTTTTCAACTGTACATGGAACATCCTGCAAAAGAGATTACGTATTAGGCCTCAAAATGAGTCTTAACAAATGTAAGCAGACTGAAATCATATCAAGTATTTTTTCTGACCACAATGGTATAAAACTAGAAATTAGTAATAGGACGAACTTCAGAAAATTCACAAATATGTAAAAATTAAGCAACATGCTTCTGAACAACCGATGGAGCAATGAAGAAATTAAAAGGGAAATTTACAAATTTTCTGAAACAAATGAAAATAAAAACACAAAACCCCAAAACTTACAGTGTAGGGCAAAAGCAGTTCTAAGAAGGAAGTTTATAGCAATAAACACCTACTTCAAAAAAGAAGAAGGATCTCAAATAAACAACCTAACTTGACACCTAATAGGCTAGAAACAAGAACAAACTAAGGCCAAAGTTAGTCGAAGGATGGGAATTATAAGCATCAGAATGGGAATAAATGAAATAGAGACTAGAAAACAATAGAAAAGATCAACAAAACTATGGGGTTGCTTTTTGAAAAGATAAACAAAATGAACAAACCTTTAGCTAGACAAGAAAAAATAACAAATACTCTAATAAATATTAATATAATATATAATAAAAAGAGGGCATTATAATTGATATCATATAGTTACAAAGGATCATAAGAGACTATTAGGAACAATTAAATATCACAAAATTGTGTAACCCAGAATAAATGGACAAATTCCTTGACAGATGCAACCCACCAAGATGAAATTATGAGAAAATAAAAAATCTGAGCAGACCAATAATAAGTATGAAAATTAAAACAATAATAAAAATTTTCCCATCAAAGAAAAGCCCAAGACATGACGGCTTCACCGTTGAATTCTACTAAATATTTTAAAAATAAACAATACCAACTCTTCTTAAACTCTTCCACGAAATTAAGGATCAGGGATTACTTCTATTTTTTTTTTATTTTTATTTTTTATTATATTTTAAGTTTTAGGGTACATGTGCACAATGTGCAGGTTAGTTACATATGTATACATGTGCCATGCTGGTGCGCTGCACCCACTAACTCATCATCTAGCATTAGGTATATCTCCCAATGCTATCCCTCCCCCCTCCCCCCACCCCACAACAGTCCCCAGAGTGTGATATTCCCCTTCCTGTGTCCATGTGATCTCAATGTTCAATTCCCACCTATGAGTGAGAATACGCGGTGTTTGGTGTTTTGTTCTTGCGATAGTTTACTGAGAATGATGATTTCCAATTTCATCCATGTCCCTACAAAGAACATGAACTCATCATTTTTTATGGCTGCATAGTATTCCATGGTGTATATGTGCCACATTTTCTTAATCCAGTCTATCCTTGTTGGACATTTGGGTTGGTTCCAAGTCTTTGCTATTGTGAATAATGCCGCAATAAACATACGTGTGCATGTGTCTTTATAGCAGCATGATTTATAGTCCTCTGGGTATATACCCAGTAATGGGATGGCTGGGTCAAATGGTATTTCTAGTTCTAGATCCCTGAGGAATCGCCACACTGACTTCCACAATGGTTGAGCTAGTTTACAGTCCCACCAACAGTGTAAAAGTGTTCCTATTTCTCCACATCCTCTCCAGCACCTGTTGTTTCCTGACTTTTTAATGATTGCCATTGTAACTGGTGTGAGATGGTATCTCATTGTGGTTTTGATTCGCATTTCTCTGATGGCCAGTGATGATGAGCATTTTTTCATGTGTTTTTTGGCTGCATAAATGTCTTCTTTTGAGAAGTGTCTGTTCATGTCCTTCGCCCACTTTTTGAAGGGGTTGTTTGTTTTTTTCTTGTAAATTTGTTTGAGTTCATTGTAGATTCTGGATATTAGCCCTTTGTCAGATTCAATGCAGAAAAGTTGGAAGCTTTATAGCTTGAAGTTAGGTAGCGTGATGCCTCCAGCTTTGTTCTTTTGGCTTAGGATTGACTTGGCAATGAGGGCTCTTTTTTGGTTCCATATGAACTTTAAAGCAGTTTTTTCCAATTCTGTGAAGAAAGTCATTGGTAGCTTGATGGGGATGGCATTGAATCTATAAATTACCCCCGTTTTCTTCTAATAGTTTCATAGTTTTCAGTATTTCACTTAAGTCTTTAATTGACTTTAGGCTGTTTTTTGTTTGTTTTTGTTTTTGTTTTTTTAATATGGTATAAGTTAAGGGTTTAATTTCACTGTCCTGCCTGTGGATATCCAGTTTTCCAAATACCATTTATTGAAGACTGTCCTTTTCCCATTGTGTGTTCTTGTCACATTTTTGAATATCAGATTACTGTAAATGAATTGTTTATGGGTTCTCTATTCTTTATGTCAGCTCCATGTTTGTATGCCAGTATAATGCATGTATTAGTCCATTCTCACACTGCATGCTGTTGTTGTTTCTATGGAAGCTTTTCCTCTAAGATCCAGCACAAGACAAGGAAGCACACTCTCACCATTTCTATTCAACACAGTACTGCAAGTCCTAGCCAGAGCAATTAGGAAAGAGAAAAAAATAAAATCCATCCAAATTATAAAGAAGTAAGTTAATAAATCCATCCAAATTTAAAAAAATAAGTTTTTTTGGCAGATGACATGATCTTATATGCAGAAAAACATAAAAACTCCACCAAAAAAAAAAACCTGTTTGAACTAATTTAAAAAATTCAGTAAAGTTGAAGGATACAAAATCAGCGTACAAAAATCAGCAGCATTTTTATAAACAACAAATTTTTTGATATGATCCAAAAGCAAAAGTAACAAAAGTAAAAATAGACAAATGGGATTACAACAAAATAAAAGGTTCAACATAGGTAAAGAAACAATCAACTGAGTGAAGAGACAACCTACAAAATGGGACAAGAAATTTCCAGTATCTAAAAAGGGGTTAATATATAAAATACACAAAGTATTCAAACAACTCAATAGCAAGAAAACGAGTAACCTAATTAAAAAGTGGGCAAAAGATATCAATAGACATTTCTCAAAAGAAGACATACAAATGTCCAACAGATATCTGAAAAAATGTTCAACATCACTATTCACCAGGGAAATACAAAATAAAATGAGAGTGAGATATCATCTCACATCTGTTAGGACGGTTATTATCAAAAAAGACAAATGATAACAAGTATTGACAAGGATGTGGAGAAAAGGGAACATTTACACATTATAAGTAGGAATTTAAATTAGTACAATCATTATGGAAAACTGTATGGAAGTTCCTCAAAAATTTAAAAATAGAACTATCATAGGATCTAGAAATCCCACTATTGGATATATTTAAGAAAATAGAATCAGCACACTGAAGCGATATCTATTCTCTCATGTTTATTACAGGATTATTTACAAAAGCTAAGGTATGGACAGCCCAAGTGTCCAGCAATAAATGAATGGTTAAAGAATATGGAGTATATATACAATTAAATACATTTGGCCTTAAAAATAAGGAAATCCTGTCATTTGTCACAACATGGATGAAACTATAGAACATGATGCTAAATGTAATAAGCCAGGCACAGAAACATAAATACCACATGATCCCACTCACATTCAGAATCTAAAATGTTTGATCTCATTGAAGTAAAGAGCAGAATGATGGTTACCCAGGGCCCGGGGTGTTGGCTCAGTGGCTAGGCAGATGTTGCTCAAAGGAAACAAAATTTCAGTAAGATAAGAATAAGTTCAAGAGATCTATTATACAACATGGCCACTATTCTTAATAACAATTTATTGTATTCTTGAAAAATGCTATGAGAGTGGATGTTAACTGTTATTAAAAAATGATAACTATGTGAGTAATGTACTTGTAATTAGCTAGATTTAGTCATTCCACAATGTACACATATTTTGGAACATCATACTGTACATGACAAATACAATTGTATCTGTAAACTTAAAAAATGAAAGAAAAACATCAAAACCAACAAAGTATATATACAACATACCAAAAGTTAAGGGATGCAGCAATGTAGTACTAATAGGGAAGTTTATAGTGATAAATAACTACATTTAAAAAAAAAGAAGATAGATCTCAAATAAAAAAACTAACTTTATACCTCAGTGAACTAGAAAAAGAAGAATAAGCCAAGCCCCAAGTTAATTGAAGGAAATCATAAAAATTGGGGCAGAATTAAATAAAACAGAGAAGAGAAAAATAATAGAAAAAAGAGTCGATGGAACTAAGAGTTGGTTTTTTGAAAATAAGGTTAACAAAACTTTAGCCAGACCAACAAAAAAAGGGAAGACTCAAATAAATAAAATCAGAAATGAAGGAGGAGACATACCAACTGATGCTACATAAACAGGGTTATGAGAGGCTACTATGAAGGACTATATGCCAATAAATTGGATAATATAGAAGAAATGGATAAATTCATAAAAACATATACTCTACCGAGGCTGAATCATGAAGAAATAGAAAATTTGAACAGATCTATAACTAGTATGGTGATTGAATCAGTAATCAAACACTGTTTGAATCAAACAAAGAAAAGCCCAGGATCACAGCTTTAATGGAGAATTCTACCAAACACTTGGCGAATTAATACCAATTCTTTTTCAAACTCTTCCAAAAGATTGGAAGGAAGGGAGCACTTCCAAACTCATTTTACGTGGCCAGCATTACCCTGTTACCAAAGCCATATAAAGATACTACAGGTGCTCCTCGACTTACTACAGGGTTACATCCTAATAAACCCCACTGTAAGTCAAAAATATTAAGTTGGAAATGCATTTAGTACCCCAATAATCTCATCATAAAGTCAGAAAATTGTAACTCAAGCCATAAGTTTGGATGTTCATCAACTTACTATGGGGTTATGTCAGAATAAACCCATTGTAAAGTTGAAAAATCCTAATTTGAACCATTATATATCAAGGACCATCTATACAAGAAAAGGAAACTACATGCCAATATTCCTGATGAATACAGATGGAAAAATACTCAACAAAATACTAGAAAACTAAATTCAACAGCACATTAAAATCATCATACAAAATGACCAATTGGAATTTATTCCTGAGATCCAAGGATGGCTCAATGGATTAACATATAAAATAAATCAATGAGATACACCACATGCCTTAGTTCATTTGGGTTTCTACAACAAAATGACATATTTTCTGTGGCTTATAAACAATTCTCATCTGGGTAATCTAAGGTCAAAGCACCAACAGAGTTTGTATCTGATGAGGCTCTGATTCCCACGAACAGCATATTTTCCCTGCATCCTTACATGGTGGAAGGGACTAGCTAGCTCTCTGGAATTTCTTTGATAAAAGCACTAATCCCATTCATGAGGGCAGAGCCCTTATGACCTAATCACCTTCCAAACACCCCATCTTCTAATGCCATCACATTAGAGACTAGGTTTTAATGTATAAATTGGGGGGATACAAATATTTAGACTATAGCATCACATTAACAGAATAAAGGGTAAAAAAAAATCACATGATTATCTCAGTAGAGGCAAAAAACATTTGACAAAAATTTAACATCCTTTTATAATTTAAAAAAACACTCAACATACTAGAAATAAAAGATATTACCTCAACATAATAAGGGTCATATATGAAAAGCCTATAGCTGACATCATACTCAATGATAAAAAACTGAAAGCTTTTCATTTAAGATCAGAAACAAGGTTAGAATGGTCACTCTCACCACTTTTATTCAACATAGCACAGGTAGTCCTAGCTAGAGCATTTAGGCAGGAAAAAGGATTAAAAGGCATCCAACTTGTAAAGGGAGAAATAAAATTATCACTGTTTGCAGGATACATGATATTATAAGTAGAAAATCATAGAGAGTCCACAAAATGCTGTTATAACTAAAACATAAATTCAACAAGGTTGCTGGATAGAAAATCTATATATAAATATTAGTTGCACTTACATTCATTAACAATAAATAATTTTTAAAGGAAATTTTTTAAACATCTAATTTACAATAGTATGAAAAGGAATAGAATACTTAAGAATGAAGCTAACCAAGAAAGCAAAGACTTGTACATTAAAAAGTATAAAACATTCCTGAAATAAGTGAAAGGAGACAGAAATAAATGGGAACTATTTCATGTTCATGGATTGGAATACATTGTTGAAATATCCATACCACTGAAAGCAATCTACAGATTTCAATGAAATCCCTAGCAAAATACCAATGGCATTTTGCAAAAATAGAAAAGTCAATCCTAAAATTTATATGGAATCACAAGGCAACTCAAACAGTCAAAATTATCTTTAGAAAGAACAAAGCTGGAAGCCTCACACTTTTGGAATTCAAAACATATTACAAACTGACAGCAATCAAAGCTCTAAGGAACTGGCATAAAGGCAGACAAATAGACCAAAGCAACAGAATAGAGAGCCCAGAAATAGACCAGCCACATATGGTCAACTGACCTGTGGCAAGAGTACCAAGGATATAAAATGTGGAAATGATAGACAGCCTTTTCAACAAATAGTGCTATGAAAACTGAATATTATATCCACATGTAACAGAATGAAATTGTACTCTTATCTTTCACCATACATAAAAATCAACTCAAAATGGATTAAAGACTTAAACATAAGACCTGAGGCTATAAAACTATTAGAAGAAATTATAGGGAAAGAGCTTCAGGACATTGGGCTTGGCAATGCTTTGCTGAATATGACAGCAAAAGAACAGGCAGCAAAAGAAAAATAGATACGTGAGATTTCATCAAACTAAAAAGTTTCTGCACTGCAAAGGTAACAATTAACAAAGTGAAAAGGCAACCTATGAAATGGGAAAAATATTTGCAAACTCCATATCTGATAAGGGTTTGTTATCCAATATATATAAGAAATTCCAAAAACTCGATAACAATAATAATAACCTGACTAAAATATCAGCAAAGGACTTGAACAGACATTTTTCCAAAGAAAGCATACAAATGGCCAACTGATAGATAAAAGCATGCTAACATTGCTAATCATCAGAGAAACGCAGATCAAACCCACAAGATACTGGCTTACACCTATTAGATTTGTTATTATGAAAAAATAGAGATAAGTATTGTCAAGAATGTGGAAAACAGGGAACTCCTGGTACACTGTTGGTGGAAATGTAAAATGATGAAGCCACTATGGAAAACAGTATGGAAGTTATTTAAAAAACTAAAAAATGTAACTACCATATGATCCAGCAACCATACTGCTGGATATATAGCTAAAAGAACTGAAATAAGTATCTCTTCAAGTATACTTCCATGTTTTTATAGCACTATTCACAATAGCCAAGATGTGGATACAACCTAAATATCCATCAAAGGATGAATGGATTTAAAACATGTGATATATGCATATAATTGTATGCGACTACGTAAAGTATACACATTATTCAGCCTTAAAAAAGAAGGAAATCCTGCCATATGTGACAACATGGATGAACTTTGAGGGCATTATGTTAAGTGAAATTAGCCAAACACAGAAGGACACATAACGTGTAATTCCATTTATATGAGTTATCTAAGGTAGTCAAAATCATAGAAGTGGGAAGTAGAATGGCAATTGCCAAGGACTAACTAGTGGGAAGGAATAATGAGGAATTGCTGTTCAATGGGTATATAATTTTGGTCATGCAAAACAAAAAATAATTTCCGTAGATCTTCTATATAACAATGTGCCTTTAATTATTAACAATAGTGTAGTCTAGTCTTAAAAATTTGTTAAGAGGGCAGATCTCATGTTACATATTTTTATCTAATAAAAAAACTAGTTCCAGCTACTGGGGAGGTTGAGGCAGGAGACTCACTCGAGCCTGGGAGGCAGAGGTTGCAGTGAGCCAAGATGGCACTCCAGCCTGTGAGACTCTGCCTCAAAAAAAAAAAAAAAAAAAAAAACCGATCTTAAAATAAAACAAAAATTTACCAGTTTCCTTTGAATTTCATGCTTAGAATACGTAGGAAGAAAAACAAGAACTATTTAAAAAATGTTTAAATCCAGCAAAAAGAAAGAAAAGAAATATCTATCATGCAGTGAGATATATGGTTGTAAAACCACATCCCTTGGTATACTGCATCTCTTAAAATGGTGGTTATTTGTATATGACTAAATAACAATCATTTTTGGTTATCAAACTTTAAACTTAATACTAGAAAAGTAATTTTCACTTTCTTTCTATAATTACACTTGTCTAGACAGATTACTCAGAATCTGAAATCCTTCTGTAGCTAGAGATTGTAGATTTCTCATCTGACAGGCAAATTTGACTTTACATTTTCTATTAGTTGAGATCTTCATATGTCATTAACCTTTTTATCCCCACACTTAACTTTTTAAATAAAACTAAAATTCGGAAGTAACAATACCAAACCACAAACCTGTAGAAAAGAGTACTTTTCAACCTTTCTCTTGCATACGTTGTTTGTCTGCAACATAGAGAATTTAAGAATGCAGATTAAGGATTTAAAATTACATTTCAGGTATCTGTTGATAAAATACAGTATGCTGTAACTTTATTATATTTAGTAGAAACTATTACTGACCTGGGGTCTTTCCCTCTTGATTAGATAATTTAAAAGATACAAGTAGGGTTGAGGTACAGGCCATATCATGTCAAATGGTAGTTATTCATACACAAGTTCTACCTATGCAGGTTATCCAGAGACCAAGTTGAAGGGACCAACTACCAGGTGAGTGAGTTAGGAGTAGTAAATTTTTTTGTTTCAATGGGGAGGCTCATC
Source organism: Homo sapiens (assembly GCF_000001405.40). Classification (NCBI taxonomy): domain Eukaryota; kingdom Metazoa; phylum Chordata; class Mammalia; order Primates; family Hominidae; genus Homo; species Homo sapiens. The sequence continues at coordinate 103,765,444 of NC_000006.12, forward strand.
TAGGTTATATTAAGTAGTGCTAGTCTAGTGTAAGATCATAGAAAGGAATGTTTCAGCCATTTCTTACAGGAGTCCTGGAAAAATTGAACAATCCAGTCAGAATTGAAGGACAACAAAGTGCATAGAGCTAGGGTGATCTAACAGCAACTGGAACTCGGAAGTTTGACAACTAGGTTACCTTGCCATCCTTCAGCAAGCAGCCGTCTGATGAACTTGACTCTGGAACTCTTTATACCTCTCAGCCATTTGGGAATGTACAGTTTTCTGTTTTCTGCTTTCTCATCTATAACATTATTACCTCACTTCTCCAGTTCAGCTTTATACAAAAATGGCTCTGGTTATCCAGGGGATTAGCATCTTCCACTTTAAAGAGAGCCTTGAAAGATGTCATAAGGTACTGTTTAATAGAGAGGGTCACCTAGGGACAAGTTCCAAGCCCCTGGATCCAAAAGTTGGAGTCAGAGTGTGAGCTTTGTTACGTGGAAGAAGTCCCTTAAAGATGACTGTGGGTGAGAACTGTGAGAAAAACAACACGGCTGGGCGAGTGGCAGGCATTGTCATCAACACTTGGGCAAAGACCAAGTAGGAAAGACAATATGGTGAGAAAAGACTTTATAGCCAATAAATGAGCATGTCATACTGAAGGAGCTGTAGAAAAGAACAGATGGGAGTCTGGTGTTAAAAAAATCAAGGGTCAACTGAGAAAGAGAGGGGGAAAAAAGTAAAGATGAAAATAAATGCTACAGGTTGAAGGCTAATTGGTATGACTCCCCTAGCACTAGGCTCCATCTGCCTATTTTTCCTATGTATATATTTTGGACTTTTTAATGTATCCACTGCAGAAAGAACCAAAATATTGGAATCTAAATTAGGTTTACCCACTCATCTATGGATGGTAAACATGACAGTGTGAGCACAACCTCAATTATTATTTACATGCTCAGAATGTAATTGGTTCCAATAAAAGTTTTAGTCTAGGACCCACTTCCAGCTTTTAACTGGGTTTACTCTGGTAGTATGGGTAATTGTGAAGGGGATTGCTGGGAGGAGGTAGAGATTATTCCTTTTATTATTTATATATTCATTAAATAGTGACATATGTAAATATGAAATATATTCATTAAATAGTGACATATGTAAATATGATTTTTTAGTGTTTTAAATTTTTTTTCAAGTAATTAAAAAAAAAACTCACAAGAGTTTAACTAGTAGCCTTTCTGGATATGGGTATAATTTCTGAGTATATATTTACATATGAATATTTAATATTTACATTACTTTGAGCATAAATACTATGGCTGAATATGGAAGTTTTTCCTCTACCATGTGAGGAAAAAAACATATGCCATTGCTATGAATATAAAGGTCAGAAAAAGGAAGAAGAAATACAACATTGTCAATGAAAGATGAAAAGAGAGGAAGAAAATGTATCAAGTTCATTTAAATACAAACAGGCTTTATATAAATCCTTGTAATACATTATTTTAAAGATTGTTGAAATGAGGAAAATAATATACTTATATTTTTACATTTTAAATGTTTTAATCCTTTTTATAATCAAGAAAAAATATGGAACCAAATTACAGTTCTTAATGGAGTTTGAGGAAATACATACTTCGTTAATTTTATGCTATTTTAGTGGCCTAATTCTTAGGCATATACAAATGTGCATATTATAAGCTAATTTGAACGGGGTTCTGAAAATAGCTAACTACAACCCTAGTGAAATTATAAATTGTTTTACTTGAATAATTGCTTTGAAAAGATCAATTTTTCTTTTCTATTTTCATTTAGTCAAAATGTATTATTTAATGTTGGACCACACCTAAACTCAACACTGAGGAGATAATTAAGTTTTATTAAGTAAAAGGAAGGACATAGCCAAAAATATTTTTTCTTAGAGCTGAAACAAAATTTTAAGAATTAGCAGATAATTGCTGTGTTCCTAAGAAAAATACACTCATTGTTCCTCCTAAATATCAAGTTATTTATAGAACAGATTCTTATTATTAACATTTATAATAACTGATAAAAGATTATTCAATTTATAAATACCATTTGGAGACATCACATTTACATTTAACTCAATAAGTTTTCATGAAGAAATGCTCTTATTACTTAAATCTTATATAAAATCATTATACATGATTATTAAAAGCTGCATGTTTACAAAACAATACAAAAGAGCATAGCAAAGATGAGACAAAAAGATGAATTACCACTTTAGTCTAGCAATTCTGAGACTTAAAAGACTGATAACAATCTTCTTTCTAATGCTAAAACACTAAAAAGGAGAGAGAAAGAAATTTGGTTCTGCCTTCTCCCCAGCTCTCCTCTCCCTAAAAATGGCCTCTGATTAGAATGATTGTGAATTTGTGGCTGAAAATCACACTGAAAAATATAAACCTTTCTATCTACCTTCTAAAATGATTAACTCAAATACAATTCAGGTCATCTAGCAGGCATAACCCACTTCCAGGTAGTAGAAAACGTTGAGAAATAAGAGCAAAAAGAACAGACACCATAGCGGAGGAGGAGTGAGTATTTTGGAGAGGCACTACTTGATTAACAATTATTTTGTAACAGCAGAGTCTCCAACTATCTGGGTGGCTTTTGCTATTGCATGGTCCAGAGGAAGCCTGGAATTCCAGTGAGTCTGGAAACATAAAGAGGAATGCCTAAGAAAAAGCCAGTAACTGGAGTGAGAGTGGACAAGATAAAGGGTTTTCTAAGGACCCCACAGAAAATTTGGAGACTCTTCCACCAACTCTCACTGTTCATGTGTTCTAGTTCCCTTGAATGTCACTAAACAGGCTTAGTTAAAATATTTAGCATCAAATTTTATTCATTGGCCCTGATATCTGACTAAGCATCACATGGGCATTGAATAAACCAACACATCCTTCTCTCATAGTCAAATTCCTATGAAAGTATCATATAGAAAGTTGTGAATGCTCAGACAGAAAACAGATTATTTGTACCCAGATTCTACATTTTATGCACATCTGAAGATATAAGAGTGAGATCACATGAAAACAATTAAGCAGCTCACAGCCACAGAGTTTATCAAAGTCTCTTGTCAGAAGCAGCACCCGGGCAACACACCATCATCCCCCTCAGACACGGGCCTCTAAAACATGAGCTCTGCCTTCTGGGATCAGTGCACATAGACCAGGTGTCAATATCTCTTATGTACACATCTCTCTTTTCAGAGAGCTGCAGTTACCTCCCCCACCTGAGAGGAGGTGTCATCCCCAGCCAAAGGCAACTCTTATGAAGACTGACTGCTCCCTAATCCTTGGTAATAGCTGCATGGAATTTTTTTGGCAACTGTCTGGCCAGCATAATTCACCAAGCTGCCCACATATACTCTTGCTGTCAGTCAGCATCAAGAGATAAACATTTCTCATGCTCTCTGATCTCTTTTCTCTTCATCATTACACACATATTATTCTCCTTTTCCCCTTCTCTGAACAAATTAGTTCCTTTATTCTCCAATTTCAAGTTTCATGTCATGATATAAAAACCCTCTTGTTCCCAGTCTTCATCAAATATTTGTTTCACCATTGTGTCCTAATTGAACCCAGCTTCTCCACAGCTTCAGAACAAAAACTCCTGTAGCCCACTAGTTTCAGAGAAAAGAAGCAAAACCTATTCTCTACCAGTGCTATCCCCAGCCCTTACTTATCCACATTCTTATAAAAACAGCTCATCCCTAGAAGCCCTTGCCTTTCAGCTGTCCCAGAGGGCCTTGGCTCTCCCTAATGAAGATTTACAGACCAGAAAAATAGTCTGTCTCTTCATGCTGGTAGCTGCAATAATACTGAATGACTATGGTGTCCCTTGGAACGGCTAATCTCATCACTTTCCTTCTTGCATCCTTGATCTCCCCACCTCTAATAAACTTAATCTCTGGTCTGCACTGACTACCCACTCACATGGCAACAGCAAAACCTGGCTAAAATCCAGAACTGCTTGATCTCTGAGAAATTAAGTTCAATGATCCCACTCTCACTATAATGTAACTCTCACATAGTTTTTTCCACTATATCTATTTTTCAAACCCCTAAGACTCAAAACCTTATTTCTTCTAGTTTTCCCAAACCCACCAAAAACTTTCCAGCTTCCCTTCCTTCCTCTGGTTTGAGTTGTGTGACTCATCTTTTCAGAATGCTGTCTCCAAAATCCAACTTCATTACCCCATTACCTTCTATTGTTCTAGGCCGGAAACATCAAAAACTTGAATCAACTCAAATGTCTGTTATTACCAGAAAAATCACACAACCATACAGATTAATGTCACTAATTCATTGTTTCTAGCTTCAACAGCAGTCTCCCTCTCTAATTACTATTCTCTCCCCTATTTATTGTTGAAACTTTTTCTGTGCTAAGAGATGTGATCCTGACCATCCTCCTTTACAATTTCAGCATTTGACCCTGCTTTCCACTACACAGAGAAAACAGAAGTCCACCACATTCTTGCCTCCTTTTCTCTCTATTTACATTTAAGAACTGCCCCCTCTCCAATCTAAAATTAGTACTCTTCTTGTGAATCTTCAGTTTCTCCCTTTTCCTGCCCATGAGCATGAAAACCTGATCAAGCCTACCACATAAAAGGGGGGAGGACATATACCTTAATATACCTCTGTAACCCTATTTTAAAAGAAAAATATCCCCAGAAATACATTTATACTTCACTGCCCCACTGCCCTTGTATTTTTCATTTAGCTTCCAAACACAAACCCATCCACTACTCTGAAGAATGTAAAATGGCTCCCAAGAATGGCTTTTCAAGACTAAATCCACCAGAATTCTCCATTTCTTACTTGACCTCTTAGTGGCTGTTAGCACTTTCGACCCTTAATTTCTTCAGCATATTCTCTCAATTTCTAGGACAACATGCTCTCCCATTTTATTACCTTCCTCTTCTTTACTGCTCCTTAGTATTTCTTAGACTTTTCTTACTCTGCTCATGATTTGGTGACCTTCAGGTTCTTGTTCTATGTCTGCTTCAACATTACCATTTTCTTTTGTTTTAGTGATGTGATCTCTTCCAGATCCATAGCTTTAATTAACTATATACTGATAACTCCCAAAGAGATATTCTAAGGCTTCATCTCCTTTCAGACCTCCTTATCTTTATAAACAACTTTCTATTGCTTCACTCACAATCATCAAACACACCAAATACAGTTAAGTCTAAAACTGAACATCTCTTCCCATTTGTGTTTCATTTTTTTTTTTTTTTTTGGTAATTCTTTGTAAGAATTTACCAAAAGGCTCAATCTTGAAATCTAGTCATAATCTTTAGCTCTTCTTTCTCATCCTTAACCCATATTTAATCAGTAACCAATGGTTCTATCACCTGGATATCACCGGAATTTATGTGCTTACACCCTAGTTCAGGCCTCATTACTTATTCCATAGATTACTGGCCGACTACTACACTGGTAACTGATTACCTCTTCAATGTATACCCTGCACTGCAAACCAAGTACTATTTATAAAATGAAAATCTGATACCAGCACTCCTTTTCCTAAAATGCTTAAGTGCTCCTCAGGATCTTCTGGATAAACCCAAGCTCCATAATGCTACTCATGGCTCTTCCTTAAATGGCACTCCTTACCATTTCAGAAGCATGTCTTATCTACCCCTCCACAACCATATTGCTATGCTGTATCTGAGCAAAGATAAACTACTTTCTTTCTTCAGATTATAACAGTTCCCATGCCCCTTGTCTCCAAATAAGATTCCAAAAATAGAAGGTGTGACCTATCACCTGATTACTTTTTTCTTAACCTTGGATTTGAAACTATTTATACCAGAATTCACCACTGAGCATTCATCCCATGGATACCTAAATCCAGGTTAATGCATTAAGGTACTAGTCCTATTTATTTAAATTTATTTACTTATTTTGAGACAGAGTTTTGCTCTTATTGCCCTGGTTGGAGGGCAATGGCACCATCTTGGCTTACCACAAACTCCACCTCCTGGGTTCACGCGATTCTCCTGCCTCAGCCTCCTGAGTAGCTGGGATTACAGGCATACACCACCACGCCTGGCTAATTTTGTATTTTTAGTAGAGACGGGGTTTCTCCTGGCTGGTCTTGAACTCCCGACCTCAGGTGATCTGCCCACCTCAGCCTCCCAAAATGCTGGGATTACAGGTGTGAGCCACCATGCCCAGCCTAGTCCTATTTATTCCATAGTATACTATTTAGAGGGATATATATATATGTGTGTGTATATATATATATATATATATATATAGAGAGAGAGAGAGAGAGAGAGAGAGAGAGAGAATTACACTCTATAATTGTTTCACCATAGTATGTATTTCTCATGAAGTCACTTGCTTGTTTGTTTCAGTCACCTAATGTGATTGCAAGTTTCTGAAAGATGCCATACATGTCTGTCATATTTATCTCCATATGCTAGCAATTAGCACCTATGATAAATTATTGCTTATTGAAAGTGTAAATGTGTGGAAGCTAAAGCACCTCCATCTTGGAAGCGAATCTGCCATGATGATTTAACTGATTAACCCCAGTTCTGGAAATGTCTCTAAGATTTCGAGTTTATCTATTGTTCCTTGTGTAAGAGCAGGTACTCACCATAGATCTTTCCCTTAGGTCAAACAACATCGATGTTATCATACTTCAGTTATCCTACAAATCCCATCTGAACCACTCCTTTACCTATGGTATAAAGCCCTGACTCTGGAGCATATTGGTGCAGGGATCCACCATCTTGTCTCACTGCCACGTGAGACATACATGTGGCTTCTGTTCATAAGTCCCAATTAAATGCTTTTAAGAAACTGGATTTGTCAGCCTCTTTCTTCAGCCTCACAGCTTCCTTGGACCTTGGGGTAGGTTTAAACAGTCCTGCCTATCTTGAAACAAAACGAATTAGTGGATAAATTAATTAATTAACTCAAGAGACAAATTCTGATTGTTTGGCAAGGTGATATCCAGCAGACTATCTGGACTGCTGCCCAGGTGATGGATGATTTTGGCTCAGTTGTCCATTGCCAGTTCAAACATCTGTGTCAAAAGTAATGAGATCATGTGATACAAGCAGGCAAATTAAGCTCGAAGAGTCACCAGAAGAAAGCGATAGGCCTAAATAGTGTTCACATTTAAAAGCTTCTTAAAAGAGGACAATACAACTTACAAGTACTTCGCTTTCTCTGCCAAATGCATAGAGGCCTGCCAAATGAACTGAGGCCTCCATCTAGAAGTCCATTTCTCTAAGAAGCTCTTTTTGATCTCCATTCCCCAAATTACAAGAGGATAGCTCTCATGGAGGTTTTATGTCTTTTTGTTTATACCTACGTCATGAGCTGTTTAGGAGAATAGATTTAAACTTGATTTCTCAGTGCCTGGTACTGTTTCTGAATAATAGTAGATTAATAGAGTAGTTTAATGAATTCCTGTTGAATGAAGAAATACATGCTTACATGAATAAAGAAACAACTCCCTAACTCAAATTTCATGAAAAGCTTAAAAGGTCTCAATAAATTTATTTTTTAATATTTTTAAAATAAATTTAAATACACATACATCTAGAGGATAGGCAGGTGACCATTTTACTGGTCCATTGACAAACTTAATTTTTCAAAACATAGAGGAGTCTCCTGATTATTTTTATTGCTATAATCAACTGCTTGAATATAATCAGTTTGATTTTCAGCATGGTGCACTGCACAGAATAAGCGTAAGACATTCTTATTGTGTTAAATTAATTGAATGGTGGAACTGCATTGAATTTGATTTAGATACGTCATTCTCACCCACATGAGATTACTGAAGAAGACTAAATCATAATATGCTGGGGCTTTCTTATCCTATTAATTGATCTAGTTCATAAATCAATAACAAAAATTAACATTACTTGTACTGGAATCCAAACCCTACACACCTTTTATTTTTGACATATTAATAAACTAAAGGAATTCCCTTCCCCTATAAAAAAAATTATTAGTGAATTAATAGCTCAAGTCTCTGTTATTTCTTGAAATTGTAAACCAAAATGAGAATGAATAATGATTCTTCAGAATCAACCCGAAATAGTAATTGTTTTTTGGAGTACCTCGTTATTCCTCAACAAACTGATAAGAGTTTTCATGTACCACAGTATCACTAATGTATTAAAGAATATGGCTTTCCAATTTAAAGATAGTTGGTGACAGATGGTCAGAATCTTTATTTTTAATCTTAGTGGACCATAACGTATAAAAACTGAACTGTACGTAAACTTTTTCTTTTTTACCCAGTAGCAGAAAGGTTCATGAGGAACAGATGTCTGTTTCTCCTGATTAAAGTAAAAGACATCTCTGAACACTTTTTGAAATCCATTTTATATGAAAATGTTCTAAGAATATAATATTGGATATGCTTAATGGATTCTTCAATATCAACACTTGTACAGAACTTACTCTTCTAAATATCCTTAAATATAATCCATTTTCTATAAAATAAATCCTGTGAAATAAAGATGCCAAATGGTGTGAGGTTCTCTTTTATCCACCTTTTCCTTGTAATTATTACCCAGTGTTTACAACCTGGAGAGCTTTTGAAATGCAGGTTAGGATCTAACTAAAGAAGCCAGTTCTGCTATTTGAAATACTGCTACTTCTTGATAAATAGTCTATTATTTTATCCCCCTCTACATTTGCCACAATGCCACTATCATTTATCAGAACTATAATCATTGTTTTCTATCCTGGAATCCCTCTTTTCTCTCAGTTTCAAAGAGCAATAGTTAGCAATTATATTTTCCAACAGGGATTTGAAATGGTCATTACTGCTCTAAGACTGTAAGACTACCTGGAAGTGCCTGACTCCCCTGAGAGATGGCCTGTAGACAGGTCTCCCCAAATTCCTGAGAGATAACAAATCTGCTTACCTGGTCCATTTCTGCTCAGACCTTCAGTGCTGTTAAATTATTCATGTTCCCCACGTAACTCTGAGGATGATGCCATAAAACTTTAAGCTGTACTTCTCGGAGACAGAGCCCTGTTCTTATTGTACTTTAGACGAAATTTTGGAAAGAACTGGCTATGCAGTTGCCACTGCCTCAATTTTCACTCCATGCTTTCAAAACTGGACCCTTGCCCTATTTCCTTCCTATTGGACCCCTTTTAGTTCTCAAAATCCAGCACAGAAATGATTTTTCGGTTAATGCCCTCTCCAGTATTGTCATGTCTATCCTGATTTCCACCTTTGACTCTGCTATTCCCTCCAATTCCTCCTCATCTTAGAAACAGGCCCCCTTTGCTCCCAGCATACCACGTGGCAGTAAATCTAACATACTCATGGGAGCTTGAATTGACTGGAAAAAGTGGAAGTTTTGCTTCAGATTATTTTTAAATTCCCAATAATTTTATAATTGTATTATATCCTTGATAACTTTTGTGAACTTGATTTATTTTTAAGATACTGATAAACACAAAAATTGAATTATTTGCCTTGCCGTGATTTCTCAGTGTGTCCATATATGTTTCAAGGGGCATAATTATACATTTCAATTTTGTCTGACTTCTTACTGCATATATAGACAGAGCCTATTGGAATGGTAGTTCAATTCCATTCATAAAATGGACATTCATAAAATGTTCTGTAAATATTTTTGTGAATTAATATACCATTTTTTTTTGAAATCAAGATCATACGGAATATAAGATATCTAAAAGAAGGAAAAATAAAACTAGCTGAAAGGTCATGATTTATCCCTATAAGGATGATAATCCCTGTCAGGAAGTATAATTACGATCTTATGCAAGATCATAATTTTAGTTTGAAAATAAGCCTTCTTCTCACTCTGAGGCCTGTTTTGCTTTTGGTGTTCTGCAGTAATACACAGCAACAAAGCGACACTGTTCTCATAACCTCAGCTTTCAGTTTGGACCTCCTTAGCATTCTTCAGACAGAATAATGTCAAGGTAAAAATCAAAGCTTTGGCTTAATTCTCACAAGTACAAGTACTAACAACTACATTATAACTTGTTCATCTATCTTGAGAATGTCAAGTTTTTTTGACATCAATTTAACTACCATTCCAACTTCGGAAATGCAGAAATGTCACACACACACACACACACACACACACACACACACACACACACACACAAACACTGTTTTATAGTACAGGAAATATAGAAATGCATTTGTGCCTAAATCTCCTACATATTAATGAGCTTAAACTTTTCTTTTTTCCCCACAGTAAACAAGCTCCTTACATACTTCTCAACACAATGTGTTCTTTTCAGGAGCATCAAGGCAGCTAAAGAGCAGGCAGTAAAGCCCATTCATTTTAAATACTAAAAGGAATTCAGTACTTTATTCAATATACTTCGGTATGTTTGTCACTTGTGTACTCACTGGCATCACTGTGAAATTAATTGAAGATTCCCTTCAGTTTCTCATTGCATAAAACTATATGTGGGGGAAATGGCTCTATCTATACATGCAGTAAAAAGTGAGAATTTGACAAAATTAAAATGTGTAATTATACCCTAGGAAAAAATACAGTCATAAAATGAAATATCAAGATATCAAGGTGAGTGAGGCAAAGAATTTTTTTTCTTTTTTGTTTTTGAGATGGAGTTTCCCTCTTGTTGTCCAGGCTGGAGCATAATGGTGCAGTCTCACCTTACTGCAACCTCTGCCTCCGGGGTTCAAGCGATTCTCCTGCCTCAACCTCTTGAATAGCTGGGATTACATGTGCCCACCACCACACCAGGCTAATTTTTTTGTATTTTTAGTAGAGACGGGGTTTCATCATGTTGGCCAGGCTGCTCTTGAACTCCTGACCTCAGGTGATCCACCTGCCTCAGCCCTCCCAAAGTGCAGGGATTACAGGCATAAGCCACGGCTCCCGGCCAGTTTTTTTTAAACTTCACTTTGTGTGCTTTTTTAATGCCTTAAGAATAAGTCAAATTCACACAAGATAACGTGATTCTCACACAATGCCAGGACGATTATTATTTGTTACCATTATTTTACGGAAGTTCATTTTAAAGACCATATATGGAAATATAAACAAAGCAAAGTGACCAGAAAAACCCTGACAAAAGACAACTAATGAGGGGCTATGCAGAGAATTAGCTACAAATGGTCCTGATGCATACAAGTAGATTCTCAACTTGACTAAAAAAAAAGAAATATGAATTAAAACTACTCTGAGAGATATTTCACCTTTCAGTTTGGCATTTCAAAAGCCTAACTATACGCTTTGCTGGTGATGCTGTAGAAGAATAGGCACTCTGATACAGAGGATTACAAATTGGTGCAAACTTATGGAGGAGAAATTGGCAGGAGTATCTAACCAAATTAGATATTCATTTGCCTTTGACCCAGAAATCCCACATCTAGAAATTCACACTGGAAATTGTCAGAGAAAGCAACTTGGAAAATGGTACCACCCACGAGTTGATATCACCCGCAATTGAAATGCACTGAACTAAGCTAAGCTATCAAACATCATTGCCCCAAAATGCAGAAGAGGGGCCCTAGAAACAGCATGTAGGTCCTAGCAACCCAGGGCCTCCTGTCCACATCAAGGAGGGGAGCCAAAGGAGATCAACTATGGCCATGACCTTTTAACACAGTGACCCATTTCGCTCCATCCATCACCACGGCAATTAAAGATGGCCAGAATCATGTTCTAAAGTTTAAATGTTCAGATTAGATTTCCCCCTCTGGAAAAAGGAAGAGAGAGGTGGAAAAAGAGACTGGCAAAATAGCAAATGCTTTTTTCCCTGTTTTATGTATTATACTATATGTTTGTCCCTAATTTCACAAACATGAAGAAAACATTCTTTCTATTCTTGTAAATATCAGTCTTAGTAAATCCCCACCAGTTCTACTTCACAAAATGTTTTCTGATTAATATATAGCTGTATACTAATTTTAATATTATACTTAATAACCTGTGCTAATATACTGTCCTTAATACATAATTTTTATGAGGTAATTGTTTTACATTTATCCTACATAGTGCACCTTCTTTTTTGTGAAATTTCATAATGTGCTGCTCTCAATAAATACATTGATTCACTATCAGCTTCCAGGTATCTTGGAGTGCCTAGTGAGCAATTTTTGCTTTATATTTTTGAGATGGGCATCTGAAATAAGATTTGAGATGTGTAAAGGGAACAGAATATCAATCTAATGTAAGAATAGGACCCTAGTTGTTTGCTTTCAGAAGTCTGAGGTTAGGATTAGGAGCAGGCAGTCCAGTTCTAAGAACATCATGAAGAAAGTTACTCTTCTCTAGTGCACTAAAATCTTAGCCTCCAGGGCTGGTCACTTGACACAGAATCCAGTCCATCCATTCTGCCCATCTTTCTTCAGGCTGAAGCTTCTGAATTTTGCAGCAGGATTACTTTTGTGCCAGCTTGGATAAATTTATCTTCCTCAACTTTATTGTTCTACCACGGTCATGATTTTGATATTAATTCTCCTGCTTTATCCTAGAAATTACTGGATCAATTGCTTGATCAAGTTCTTGTCTCACTTTAATTCTGTTGTTGAGGAAAGAAAACTGGATAAAACCCAATATAATATTTGTACCTACCGAGGGTTCAATAAAAGTTAACTAGTTTGAATCTAATACATATTAGCTAAGCTTTTTTGTGTGTGGTTTCTGCATCATCATAGTTTCCAAGCATGTCTGTTTTGTGGCTAGAAATCTCTTGGTCCTGTTTGTAAAAACACATATCTTTATTAAGTACTGGGATGGCACTATATTTCTTTCAACTAAACCACAGCTGACTTTATGGGATGTACAAACAATCATAGAGGTGGTAGTTGCTTTACACAAACACAAGCAGAAATCCAAAATGAAATGGGAATCACAAAGGAAGAGGTCTTTGCAGACAAACAATTCATTCATGGCAGGATTCATATTGGTTATAAGACATTAGTCTATATCAAGCAGAGTTCCTGAAAACACTTTACACTCCAGCTATCTATCACACATGCCAATACCCCAAGTTAAGGGAAGGAATAGGAGAAGTGAGAGAAGAAAACTGTTCCCGAAACATCTTTATAACGTCTCTGGTTCTTGAAGCAGGGATTATTTTTATAACAAGTTTCCTTTAATGTTAACCATGCTTTGCTTTCTAACTTATCAGGAAAGGGACAGATAGATACTTTTTCTTGTTGTTTTCTGAGATGTCAGAAAAGAGAATAAATGTATGAAAACATAACTACAGACCATAGACTACTTTTCATTTTTTATTTTTTATTTTTTTATTTTTTGAGGCAGTCTCACTCTGTCACCCAGGATGGAGTGCAGTGGTGTGATCACAGCTCATTGTAGACTTGACCTCCCAAGCTGAAGCAATCCTCTGCCTCATTTTTAAATTTTTTTATCGAGACAAGGTCCCCCTATTTTGCACAGGCTGGTCTCAAACTCCTGGGCTGAAGCAATCCTTCCACCTTGGCCTCCCAAAGTGCTGGGGTTACAGGCGTGAGGCCACCATGCCCGGCCTGACCACTGTTTAGCATTTAATACTTATGTGGCTATATTCTCCCTCTATCAAAGGTATATACATGATTTTATTATTTTAAGCAGAGATATCAGAAAAATGAATGCCACCAAGCTGCCTAATCATATGGGAAAGTGCCCCACTACAAGCTTACTTATTTTTAATTAAGAAGTACAAGAGGTTGGTTTTTTATTTTATTTTTTGTATATCTTTAAAACATTGAGTGAAACTATATCTAAGGTAGAAATTACCTAGGCAATTGTGATCCCACATGCATTTTTCTTTAAACTCAGCAGGACTTGCATATAAAATGCATAGCTTTTAAAAGAAATCAATTATACCACAGATCAAAATAAGTCTCCCAAATATAAGGATGATAGAATATCTCAAACATAAAAAAACATGCAACATGAATGCTAAACATGTAGAAAGTTTTAAATATGTGAGGTGCTTTCTCCCAGCAGACGACAGTGACACAGTTGTTTTAGTTATTACTTATACAAGACAAATTGTATCTACTCAATCAATACTTGATCACTAGCTACTGGCTGTTACTATCTAAAAAAAAATCCTCTATTATTGCCTCCATACAAATTCATGGAATAGTTTCAAATAAATTGTATGTGTTTTGGCAGAAACTATCTCTTATTAGTGGTTCTCAAACTTGGCTTCATTTTAAAGTTACCCAGCTTCAACCAGACCCTGGCATTAGCACCAAGGAAGCACCAAGGGGATTCCTATGCAGTCATGCATCAGTGACAGAGATGTGTTCTGAAAAATGCATCGTTAGGCAATTTTGTTCTTGTGCAAACTTCATAGAGTGTACTTACACAAACCTAGATGATATAGCCTACTACACATCTAAGCTACGAGGCATAGCCTGTTGCTACTAGGCTACAAACCTGTATAGAATGTTACTGGGCTGAATGCTGTAGATAACTACACAATGGTACTTGTGCATCTAAACATATCTAAACATAGAAAAGGTAAAGTAGAAATATGGTATAAAGTTAAAAATGGTACGTCTTTGTAGGGCACTTAACATGAATGGAGCTTGCAGGACTAGAAGTTGCTCTGGGTGAGTCATTGAGTGAGTGTGAGTGGTGAGTGAATGTGAAGGCCTAGGACATTACCGTACCCTGTAGACTTTGTAAACACTGTACACTTCGGCTACACTAAAATTATTAAAATAAGGTAATTGTACTATGACATTATGACTATAATGTCACTAGGTGGTAGACATTTTTCAGCTCTATTATAATCTTACAGGCTCCCCATCATGCGTGTGGTCTATTACTGATGGAAACATTATTATCAGGTGCATGACTATATTTAGGCAGTGATTCAGTCTTTAAGGTGTATCAGTATCTCCTCGAGGTGATTGTTAAAACACAGACTGCTGGGCTATATCTGAGAGTTTCTGATTCAGTAGGTCTGGGGTACGGACGGACATTTACATTACTTACAACTTCCTAACTGATGCTGATGCTGCTGATCTGGCAATCACTCTTTGCAACCTCTATCTATAAAACACTGCCACAACTTTAATGTAAATACAACTCCAGACCTAGCTTTACACAGAAGTTTTACCTTCCATGTAAAGCCTTCCAGGAGCAACAGAGTCAAAGTAAATTCTCTTTTAAATTGTGAGTGACACTGACTTTGCTGCTTAGTTATTGTTTTATTGTTCTTGCTACCTTTTCTTGAGCATTTGCTACATTCAAGAACTGTGCTAAATATTTTGCATAATCTTCAGAGAAAGATTAGGATGAGTGGTATTTGCTACAATTTAAAATGGAAAATCAAAAAGTGAGAGGACTCCTTGTTTAATTTTCTGGGAAGTGCCAGTTTTTTCCCATGGTAGGATCTTTGCAATTTCATCTGTTTAGAAGGAATCAACCCCTCACCTCCAAACATGCCATCCTAAAACCCTCAGCTCAGGCACTAAGGCTTCCAGTTTCCTACTCTCCATCACAGGTCTCCTGAGGACAAAAATGTTAGAATGTAATGCTAGGGGTGGGGTGGTGGGGGGAAGGGTGTCTATTAGACTCCAGAAAAGCCTGGCAACCGGAAGATATCTTTATCCTAAAGCTGAGCATTATTTAAAATAAAATACAAATAATTATATATTTAAAATATTACCCCATATGCCGAATGCTTTTAAAATTGTAAGCCAAAGAGTCACAGAATTTACAATCTAGTAGAGGAGATGGATATTGATCATATAATTGCATTAATTAATTCATAATTACAAAATGAGGAAAGTGCTCCAAAAGAAACAAACATCATTGTTTAAGGGAGTATAAGAATGAATGTGGGTGTAGAGTAGGAAACGGGGAGCCTGAAATGTCTGAGCTGGGTCTAAGGTTGGTATGTTTGGAGATGAGGGAGTGATTCCTTCTAGATAGATGAAATCACAATATCCTATCAATGGAAAAAAAAAATATCTAGCACTTTATAGTAATGTAAACAAGACCACTGCGGCTATACCGCAAAAAGCTGCAGGGAAGGGGGGAGTGAGAACAGGAGTTGTGCTAAGTGAGGTGTTATTTTTGCTATCATAGTTACTATTAGATTACATGTAACAACTGCCAGTTTTTATATTGTTTATATTCATGCTAGGGTTACTAGGTAAGATACGGAACGCATGGTTAAATTTCAATTTCAAATAAACAACAAGTAATTTTTAGTGTATGTATGTATCATGCATTATTGGGGAATATTTATGATAACCAAAGAAAAACTATTGTTTATCTGAAATTAAAATTGAACGAGGAGTTGTATATTTTTATTTGCTAAATCTGGCAACCCTACATGGGAGTCTTTCCTGAATTTTCTCCTTGTCGATTCTCAGTGCAATAATTTGAGACACTCACTAATTCAACACATTTTAGAAATGCCTCCACAACATCTATCCGCAGAACATACACACCCCCAGTTAAGAGTTATGGATATATACCATGTATCATGTATGTTTTAAGTACCGGGATGGAGTGGTGAATAAGACAAGCAAATTTCGTGCCTTGTACACACACTCATGTGTTTTGTATGGTATTCACCAAACACATACAAAATCTGCCATGTATCAACAGCCAGGGGGAGGTGCTGTGCATAGATTATTTCATGTAATGCCAATAGAATTACTATTATGACTTACATACATCACTTCAAGATAATTTTTGCAGAAAATAAATAGGTCTTATTAACCTTATTATTATTTTCCTCAAAAGTTGAGGAAATTGAGGCTTAGGGAAGTTAAATAAGTTGGCTGTTGCAACATAGCTATTAAATGGCTGAGTCAAAGGCCAGTGCATCTGTATGACTCAAAAGCCAGCATATACTTATATGTCCTACTCAAGACCCTCTAAAAATGCAAACCCAGAATATCTCCACAATTACAGCTTAGATATGAATTTTGTCATCTTTTATAATATTATTGTTCACTTCTTTTTGCTTTGTTTTGCTGCTTTAAATGAAGAGAAAAAAAGACTTCTTTAAAATGTAATTATATCATCACTATGTATTGTTCATTTGTTATTCCAATGGTGCAAGAAACCTTGTAAAGGACTCCATTTCAATATTAGGATTTCCCACACACACACCAATTACCTATAAGGAGACAGATTTATGGTTTTCAGATCATCTGGTATCCTTTGGCTCAGATGGAAGCATTATAACATCATAACTTTCCTCTGCCCATAAATAGACATTGTCATACATTTTTAACTCTTTAAAATGAATATATCTTCAGACTGATGCCTGTAAGATGATTTTTGCAGAAATTACGGTCTTAAAATTCTACTATAAAGCCTCAAACTACAACATTTTGTCATGGAAGTAACAGTAGAGCTCTCACATTCTCATATTCTTTATAATCTTATTATTAATTTGTTGTAGTACTTTCCAACTCTTGAATTGGGGCTGTCCTATCAAAAATTTATGAAACATTGGAGGTTATGATTGGTGACAGTCTATAACACAGCTAGATAAACTGCAGTGTTACCAGTGCTTTGGATTTAAATGTAGCATTAGAGCTCTCTGACTCTAACATTTAACTTGATTTATTGTTTGTGATATAAAAATACTAGGGCTCAGATGGCTTTAAGTGACTTTGAAAATTAAGTAAAGAAAATGTAACTACTAATCTAAACTTGCTGTGAAATATTAATTATGCATTTCAAGTTAAGGAAGCAAGCAATAATTTAATCTGTGACATGAAATAAATCCCAAACTGTACTCTTGCTGAAGGCATTTTCTAAATAAATACTTGATTTTTAAGTCACAAAGGAACTGAAGTTGAAACCGTTAGTTACTGAATTCTGAGCTGTTTATTAAAACATTTCCCCCCAGATATATTTTTTTTTATTTAATTCAGTTTTGAAAGGTAAGTTAAAGTAGAAAAACAGCTCTAACCTAAACAGGAATAGAGTGTCTTTAAAAAGTATGACAGGTGAAACTTCTTAATGATCCACGACAGTGTAAGATGGCAGTTGCAACTGCTGAGTCAGTGTAGAAGCAAATCTAAATGTAGGTGCTATTGTAGACTTTATTAATGACCCGCTGAGAACACGGGCAAACTGCCAGGGCCAGACACGCAGCAATACTTCTCTGATAACTGAGCATTCCAAACCTCCTAGATATAAATTTCTCTATGCTTTCTAAACCAGAAATAATATCCTCAGGATTTTGTATTAGGCAAGATACACAGGCATGCTATCCACATTAAATTAATCTTTGAAATGTATTGCCCAAGGAGGAGACATGAAAGAGAACAGATTATCTTTACTGGAGGAATTAACACTTGAAAAGAAAAAGATTTAAAAAATTGCATCCAAAGCAAACACAACACATCCTTCATTTGCAGGTTTAAATAAATTTGCTTTTTCCAGCCTGGTGCACAAAGCACTACACAAACATTTTGCCATACCTGTTACAAGAGCTTCTTTTCCCCACCTTGATATCTCAAACTTATGGTAAATACATCTCTCAGAATTTGGAAGGAAGGAATACAACTTTTTTTTTTCAATGAGGAAGAGGTGAGTTGAGGGTAACATGCCCATTGGACATAGAAGAGACCTCAGCTTATCATTTTTTGAGAAAAGGTATCAGTAATTTTGAACTATTCAGAAGCAGAGTTCTCAGTCTGAGTCAGTTTTGGTGAAGTTGCATGTTTGAAGGAAGTATTTGGAAATTTATATCAAAGATGGGAATTTATGAAGCTAGCAGCAAATGAAAATCACTTGTAACATAATAAAGATGAGACCAAGAAAAACAAAGAGAAGATAACGAAGAATCAAAATCATTCTAAAAGCGTGGTTCTCTAATCAGTAGCACTGGCATTTCCTGGGAACTTGTTAGAAATGCAAATTCTGGGGCCCCACCCCTGACATACTGAACCTAGTGAATCAAACTCTGGGATGAGGCCATGAATAGTTTAACTATCTCTCCAGGTGATTTTGATGTAGCTACATTTAAAATCCACTTTCTTTGCTAAATTTCTTTCTGATTTGATCTGAAGGGAAAACATCCAGTTTTCACTTATGCAAACAAAATGCTTATGATTCACTTAAAGTAGTAAGCCTCAACTTTTTTAAGTCCCAAAGCAAAGGGCCTTAAGGGCAGATTAAAGATAAGTAATTATAAAAAAGGAAATGGTGCTTTGGTCCAGAAGAGTTTTTGAAAAGGACTGTAGAATAAGGCCACATAAAGCAGCATGTAAAAGCAAAATTTTGATTCTACAAATTTTAAAGTAGAAGAAAAAGGCTACAAAACAGTACGCAATTTTTGTTAGACGCACACACATATACACAAACACACCCTTATTAATAATCAGATCAAAAAATCTATCACAATTATTTTTGGTTGATAAGATTACAAGTAATTTTAATTTCCATGCTTTTCATTTATTTTGTTACATGCCCGTTACTTTGAACTGAAACAATATTTGTTTGGCAATATTGTCTAATATACGCAAGTTACAACCTCTGTTGAGAAGTTGGCATGGGAAACTATTATCATCATCAAAATTCTTAAATAACTATAAGTGGTCCCCAGACTTGCCTGCAGATTAAATTCACCTAGGAGATTCAAAAAATTCTGAAGGCCCAACTGCAACCTCAGAGATTGTGATTTAATTGTTCTCAGCTGTTACCTGTGCTCTAGAATTGTTTAACAATCCCCAGGTGATTCTAATCGGCAGACCCGTTTGGAAATCAGTGGTTTACACTGCTTTAAATGCATTTTGTTTTCAGTGTTGCCATCAAAAAGTAGAATTAGGGTCATCAGATTGCAATACTAGAGATGTCTAATCACATTTAGCTGGACAAAATTCTGATTCGACATTTTTTTGATACTCCCAGACAAATTTTTAGGATTCTGACCGTGTTTGTAATAGTCATTGCTGACAATTTCGGCAGCATCATATTAGCTATTCATCAAAAAGGGGAAACTCTTTAGCACCAAGATAGATACAGGGCTCACAATACCTGGGATAAAGTGACATGGTCAGGTGTGCTCTGACAGGACTTAGTTCTCATAACTGAATATGGATTAACTGTATCTTGCTGCACGTTTCAAAATCCACTTCATCAAGGCCCACTTGAACCCTGTAGGTCATGTCTGTGAACGTACTTTCTGCTACCCTGCTTGTATTAGTCTGTTTTCACATTGCTCTAAAGAAATACCTAAGACCGGGTAATTTATAAACGAAAGAGGTTTATTGACTCACAGTTCCACATGGCTGGGGGAGGGCTCAGGAAACCTACAATCACGGCTGAAGGCAAAGGAGAAGCAAGGACCTTCTTCACATGGTGGCAGGAGAAAGAAGAGTGAGAAGTGAAGCCAGAAGAGCCCCTTATAAAACCATCAGATCTCGTGAGAACTTACTCACTATCAGGAAAACAGCATGGGGGAAACTGACCCCATGATCCAATCGCATTCCACCAGGTCTCTCCCTAGATATATAGGGATTATAGGGATTACAATTCAAGATGAGATTTGGGTGGAGACAGCTTAACTCAAAATTCTAGACTTTGCTTGCTAATGCCTAAATGTTGGTCTCCAAGACTAGAAGCTTATGAAGTAGGAAAGAGTGGGCCTTAAAGAATCATTCCTCAGTTATCACATAATAAAATTACCTCCCATAATGAGATTCCCAGTAATCTCAGAAGATTTGTTTTTGAAATTTATTCATTACTGGTTATAAAATTACAGGATAACATAAATAGGTAATGTCTATAATTATTAGATATATGATACATGTCTTTGTTTTATATGATATTTGTCATGCACATAACACAATTTATATTGTTTTACATATTTCATTAACTTTAATTTTAAGGTAAGTATGTACTAAAAGAACTTGTACTATTGCTATTGCAAAAATGCATTAAAGCAGATACTGAGTCTCGTTATTTTTTTACTTTTAACATTTCTGCTTTTATCTATTCTGAGTGAAAGTTTATTGTGACATTGCAAGATATAAATCAGAAAATTGTCAAAGTAAGATTATTTAGATTTGCTTTAGGCACCATTAGAGACAATTATAAGGACAGTGACATAAACGTTTATGGGAAATGAATATAGATGTCACTGGGGACAGAAGCATGGGCGAAAGGGAAGAAACACTACTACTCACTGACAGATACCTATGACACTTATTTTCTATTAAACATAGATATTTTAATAATTTTTTCTTGTCTTTCTTTAAAATTGTTTATTTATGTTTTTGCTTCAGGTAAGGTGAAATGGCAGTCAATAAAAGACTTGCTTTTTTCAGGTATGGAATAAAATAATTGCAAAGGATAGGATCTGTATTGATTAAGGCAATATTAGTTGCTGTAGTAAATAAACCCTGAAAATTTCAGTAGCTTAACCACCCCACCCCTGGACTTCAGCCCCACTAATATAATATAACATATTAAGAGTATTCTTGGTTGAATAGCTCTTCTAGGTAGCTCTTCTCCAACAAAGCATTTGGGAAAGTAGAGTTCCTCCACTTTGTGGAATTTGGCTCTCAAGTTTACTATGAAGCCCTCTCCATCTAGTCAGCCAGAAAATATCGTAAAGATTACATGTGGGATATTTATATAGATGAAACCTGGAAATGAGCTACATCAGGGGCTAGAAGTTGGCTGTGAGACCACAGCTGGAAGGGAAACTGCAAAATTTAGTCTAGCTAAGCTTCCAGGCAGAAGAAGAGATGAAATTGATAATCCATTAGCACTCTTTTTGTAGATATCCAATCATGTTGATTTGTTTTAAAAGGCTGAATGATGTCATCACAATGGAATCCTCAAACCTGAGCATTTGAGTTAAAATTCATGCAAACATTATTTAAAATTGTTTAAAATCATTTTTTTCCTGTTAGATACAAGTATAGCACACAAAACTTGACATCATTGGAAAATATTATCAGAAATTTCAAAGGCTATTAATGTTTTACATGCAACTGCATGTTTATCATAAACAAACAATAGTCACAAAACAATTTTACTCCACTGAAAAAACTCTTACAACACCTTTTCTCCCGAGCATTATCAAAATACGATGAAGAATTACCACAATATACATTTTCCCTGATTCTATCAGGAAGCACTAGATTAATTACTTAGCAAAAAGTATTGGCCTGGCAAAACACATTTCATTATTGCTTTCATTAAATATTAGGTTTTTAAAGTGTCTGTTGGGATACGACTGCTCTGACTGCATCATTTACTGCTTAAGCACTGGCTTCTGAAACTCCACACTGGGATCACACAGAAGAATTCAATTCAAAAGATGAACTGTTTAATTCAGAAAAAGAGTCAAAAAATCAGATTATTTTCATTGTTTTGTGATTTTTTTTTGCTTTGTGAATATTTTAATGTTGATTACAAAATCTTGTTTTTGAAAATCAGTTTTTTGTTTGTTTTTTATTGCCAGAAAGAGATGTGTAGCCAAAGATTTATGAGCTGAAAGGTGCGGTTGCCCTATTTTTGGAACACCAGGGAAAAGACCGACTGCCTCAGACATTAAAAAAAAAAAAAAAAAAAAAAATGATAAATTTCAGGGAGCTTGGCACATTTGGCAAGTATAGTTAAAATTTGAATACAATGAATCCAAAACGTTCAGGATCAAGAGCAACATCATTTTTGTTATACTGTATTTCAAGAACTTAGAGCTAAAATATAGTTATGACTAGACTGAGTTAGTACTAAAAATATCGCTGCAATTTTTGACTTAGTGATGTAGTTAAAGAAAAGATTAATGAAAATTATTTCAAGAAAATATCTTTAAAAAATCTGGTTTTTTTCCCCGCAGGATGAATTCATATGATAGATTTATTTATTTATTTATTTATTTATTTTTCATATGGAGTCTCGCTCTGTCACCCAGCCTGGAGTGCAGTGGCGTGATCTCAACTCACTGCAACATCTGCCTCCCAAGTTCAAGCAATTCTCTGCCTCAGTCTCCTGAGCAGCTGAGATTACAGGCGCCCACCACCACACCCAGCTAATTTTTGTATTTTTAGTAGAGATGGGGTTTCACCATCTTGACCAGGCTGGTCTTGAACTCCTGACCTGGTGATCCACCCGCCTTGGCCTCCCAAAATGCTGGGATTACAGGCATGAGCCACCACACCTGGCCAGATATGATAGATTTCTGATGTGATAGCTAGACATCTCACTTAGAGACCTGCAAGGGGAAAGTTTCTTCCTGGCATTACATCTTTGCCTCACAGTAGCCAAGAGAAATATTTGGAATTCAAGGTGATCAGGTTATGGAATATCAGAAAATTTCCTTGGAGAAATCAGGGGTTGGGGGAGAAAATATTTCTGTTTTCCCCAAAAATCAGTTACTCTTCTTTTTTCATATACTTGTGGATTTTTTTCCCTTCTACTTCCACTATGAAAGCAAGTACACAAGTTTGGTATTCAAAGTGCTCTGTCTTTCCATCACACACAACACAACACTTGTAGAAAGAATCAATAATCACACTGATATGAGAAAATTAGAGGTGTGGGGAGGCTGCCTCAAATCCTAGCTGCTTACTTTCTAAAACTGCCATTGTTTTAATTCATTTTCAGTTTTATTTAATTCATTTCAAAATTTCAAACATTATTGAAGAAAAGCATGGAATAATTGTATTTATCTAAATAGGTCACCACTGAACCAATAGCATTATCATTTTAAAACAAAACCATATCCAGCCAAAAAGATTTCAAACACTTAAAGGTGTTTTTTGTTGTAGGAAGACAATGTTTCATTAGCTTTCATGTTAGCTTTTTGATAAGATTTCACCATTTCCACCCAATGATCTAACTTAATCCTTACAAAGAAATCCTAGTTATCAAACTTGTGTTTGTTCAGACAATTGGAAAAAGAGATACCTTGAATTATGAACATAACAATGGATTAATAATTATGGGTAGAAAAAATTAAGTCAATGTAAAGGGATATCCCATGTTGTTAATTAGCATACTAGCATTCTAATGAAGAAAGCCTAGGCTTTGAAATCACTCAGATTCACATTCTATCTCTTCCAGGTTACTTCCTAAGACATCTTGGGCAGGTAAATGAACACTCAGATTCAATTTTCTCATTGAGGATTACCAAAACCTATTTTTGAATGCTGCAATGAGAACTGCATGAAATAACCTAAGTATTTGGTTTGGCAAAATTAGACATATAGTAAATGCAAAATAAATGGCAGTTGGTAAGCCAATTCCTCTTTACATGTGTTAATTTGAGTGAGTCCTTCATATAAGGAGTATTTCTTGATTACTAACCACTGGTTTTCTAGATTCACAAAACTATGGAAAAATCCCTGTTAAATGTTGATGGGTCCTTTGAGGGTTACATTCCATTCATTGATTGATGGCAATCTCCTAGGTAAGTAAGGCTGCAGCCATATTCTTTTGGACCCGACTGGGCTACCCAACATCAAAAAGTGGTAATTGCTATAAGTCTCCTTCAACTCCAGCTGTTCCTGTGGATGCCTTGTCTCCTGTTATGTAGACAGGATAATGGTCCTCCAAAGATGTCTGCATCCTAATCCCTTGAATCTGTGAATATGGTACTTTACACGGCACAGAAACTTCAGAGATGTAATTATGTTAAGGATGTTGAGACAAGCAGTGAGGAAATTATCCTATGTTATTCAGGTAGATACAATGTAATCACAAGGTTCTTACAAGAGGAAAAAAAGGAGACACAAGAGTCAGAATCACAAAAAGATGTGATGACAGTCAGAGGTTAGACTGATGCACTTTGAAGATGAGAGAAGAGGCCATGAACCAGGGAATGAAGGCTGCCTCTGGATGCTGATAAAGGCAAAGACATAGAGTTTCCCCTTGAACCTCTAGAAGAAATGCAGGTTGGCATTGACATTAATTTTAACCCCTTAAGATTATTTTCAGACTTTTGACTTTCAGAACTGTAAGATAATAAATTTGTGGTGTTTTCAGCCACTAAGTTTGTGGTAATTTGTTATAGCAGCTTTGGGATGCTAATGACCTATTCTACCCCTTATTTTAATAACTGACCAAGCCTCAGCCCATCATGTCTACCGAGCATGCCTAATTCCTTGGGTATGTCCAAGTTCTTTTGAATTCCAGTTGTAAGCTGTAGATGTCTGCTAGTTAGATATTTCCTTGGACTCAGCTATGCTTGCATCTGACACACCTTAATTCCAACTTTTGGGCTTAATTCCTGAGGTACAGTCATATGGCATGCACCTCAAGGTAGCCTCTGAATGGTGACTTGCAACCTAAACCTTACATATATTCTCAAAACTTTCCTGGAAAGCTAAATTTTGACCTCAATTTTTTTTTTTATCAGAGAGTACGCATTGTACATCGTCCTTTTCTGAATAAATTAACCACAGGCTATAATCTTTATTTATTTGATGAAGAAATATGTCTTCAACATCTAAAAATCTTAATAATATACTGTATTAACTTTGTGCAGTAGGTGGCAGAAATCAGGAAATACCTGCAGCCTTTATGTTGTGCAGTGAAAGGTAAACTCAGCAGACCTGGGCTACCCAAACCCCACATGCTCCAAAGGACTTCAGGACTGGCCTTTGAGTCACTCCTGGAAGATATCCTCAAAGCCCTTGGAATAGCCTGCCTGAAAAGCATGTCTTTGAGTACTTTGGGCCCTGGACAAAGCCAGATAGTTATGATGAATGCATGTTTTATTCACTTGAAGCCCAGGGCCATCAGTTTCTCATATGGAGAGGAGTTAGCTGGAGATTGAGTAGATTATGTCAGTCACGTAGGTCATTTCATGCCTATATAACTGACCCCTAATATAATCCCAGAACACTAAAGCTTGGATGAACTTTCCTGTTTGGCAATACTTCACAAGTGTTGTCACATATTGTTGCTGGAAGAATCAACTACTGTTCATCTGACTCCTCTGAGAGAGGATAACCAAAAGTTTGCACCTAGTCTTGCTTGGACTCTGCCTATGTGCCTTTTTTCTTTGCTGATTTTAATCTGTATTCTTTTCTGTAGTGAACGATAACCATGAGTATAACAGCTTAGCTGAGTTCTGTGAGTCCTTCTAGCAATCATCAGATCTAAGGCTGGTTTTGAGGACCACCACCAAGGTCAGACATTTTTCCGAAAGCTTAAATGATCAGATGGATAAATAAAATTACTATTCATAAACTTGCTAAGTTTTAGAATTTCATGGCAAAATAATTTCATCTGCAATGCTGACTTGGCACTTCCTGTATACACATGCATGCATTCATACACAATCTCATGTGTGAACATGCACACACACAAACACATACATATAATACATTGTAATGCTTTGAACAATGTCTTTCTCTGATGAACAATAAATCTAGTCAATCACACAGCCTACTGCATCAGAACGTTTCATAGAAAGATACTGGTATCTCTTTCTTTGGTGGATTGATATATAGCTGCATTATCTACTTTAAGATAGTTTGACTGAAGATGAAATGAGCTAACATGTAAAAGTGGCTGTCACAGTGCCTCTCAGAGGGGTAGACATTAAGTATCCCTTCCTTTCTTCCTTCCTCTTTCCTTCTTTCTTCTTTCCTCTTTCCCTTTCTTCATCTCATTTTTCCATTTTGGGACAAGCAGATATTTCTTCCTATAGAACCCTCAGTTATAATCTCTGAACACCTCATCTAATAGATAAATGTTTTAGAATTTTGACTCTATTGAATTGTAGGTATAGTATCATGTGACATGCTCTTGGAGAATTTAAGAGGTAACATAGAATTCACCTTCCTTCCTGCTCTACCACCAATCACGGCAGCATATTCTCACCACATGGCTTTATACTGTGATTCCAGGCTGGCCTGTACAAATGGAGCCAAGTCAAATGGATGATGCATATAATTTCAAAATTGAGAAACCATTATTTACATAACAACAAAATAAAGGTCTTTGTTTTTCTCACGTATCAATACCTATAGGTAAGTCTATTGATTGTACTGTTGCAGAGCCTTGTTTTCTGCAAAACGTTGGCAATGTGTTATTTGAAACCAGATGTTTTCTTAAGAAATAAACCTGCTAAACTTGTTTCCTGTGGAAACTGGAAATTTGTTTTATTTTATAGTTTAAAATGCCATAAATGCAAGATCTTCCATTGGTTGAATCAATATAGCCTTCTAAATGTGATTTCTGGTTCTAAATGTGTGCCTGTTCTAAATGGTTCTAAATGCTGACACCCGAAAACCTTTTTGCATATATTCACATACGACTATGACTATTTCTGCAGTAATTATTATTGAGACTTACTATAATAATGATAAGGCTGTATATAAATTATACCTTACTAAAAATTTAAAATCTAGGAATTTACTGAGAGAGCATAAAGTATGGTTGTAATAGAGAAAACAAATGATTGAAATGGCGTAAATGCAAGCCTTTAATATTAATTTTGAGTATTTTAATGCAAATAAAACCAATTATGACAGTGTGCTCAAATTGGTAAACAACCAATCTGTGACTTTATGAAAATATATTTATGACAGTCATACTTGCCTTACTCTTAAGTGTAGTATTTGTCCTTAAGTTGGGAGCACCATAAATTAATTTTAAAGCAAAACATATGACCCTCATCCAATGTTTTAAATGAATTGCTTCCTACTAGGAAAACAAAACATCTCAGGACATCAAATACTTCTAGTAATCAAGATGTTTTGTTTAAATTTGCTAATGTAAACTTCAACTCTATTTGGTTGCACTTTAAAAAAGCATACTAGAAAATGGGGAATATTTGAAACATGCATTTTTAAAAGCTAGGTGTTATCTTACTCAGAAGATGTTAAAAGCTTCTTTATACATTTTATTTGAAAGTAATTTCCAAAAAAGGGATGCTTGGTGGGTATATGAAAAGGTGTTCAGTATCACTAATCATCAGGGAAATACATATCAAAACCATAATGGAATATTACCTCACAGCTGTTAGGATGGCTTTTATCAAAAAGACAAAAAATAACAAGTATTAGTGAGACTGTGGAAGAGAAGGAACCCTCACACACCACTGATAGGAATGTATATCAGTATAGGCATTATTAAAAACATTATGGAGATTCTTCAAAAATGTAAAACTAAGAATACTATATAATCAAACAATCCCACTTCTGGGTATATATCCAAAGGAAATGAGATCCATGTATAAAAGAGATATGTACTCTCCCATATCCATTGCAGATTTACTCACAACAGTGAAGATACTGAAACAATATAAATGTTCATTGATGGAAAAGAATACAGCTGGAGGCATCATGCTACCTGACTTCAAACTACACTACAAGGCTACAGTAACCAAAACAGCATGGTACTGGTACCAAAACAGACATATCGACCAATGGAGCAGAACAGAGACCTCAGAAATAAAACAACATGTCTACAACCATTTGATCTTTGACAAACCTGACAAAAACAAGAAATGGGGAAAGGATCTCCTATTCAGTAAATGGTGCTGGGAAAACTGGCTAGCCATATGCAGAAAACTGAAACTGGACCCCTTCCTTACACCTTATATGAAAATTAACTCAAGATGGATTAAAGACTTAAATGTAAAACTGAAAACCATAAAAATCCTGGAAGAAAACCTAGGCAATACCATTCAGGACATAGGGATGGGCAAAGACTTCATGATGAAAACACCAAAAGCAATTGCAACAAAAGCCAAAATTGACAAGTGGGATTTAATTAAATTAAAGAGCTTCTTCACAGCAAAAGAAATAATCATCAGAGTGAACAGGCAACCTACAGAGTGGAAGAAAATTTTTGCAATCTACCCATCTGACAAAGGTCTAATATCCAGAATTTAAAAGGAACTTAAACATATTTACAAGAAAAAAAAAACAACCTTATCAAAACATAGGCAAAGGATATGAATGGACACTTCTCTAAAGAAGACATTTACATGGCCAAAAAATATACGAAAAAAAGCTCGACATCATTGATCATCAGAGAAATGCAAATCAAAACTATAATGAGATATCATCTCATGCTAGTCAGAATGATGATTATTAAAAAGTTAAGAAACAATAGATGCTGGTGAGGCTGTGGAGAAATAGGAATGCTTTTACACTGTTGTTGAGAATATAAATTAGTTTAGCCATTATGAAAGACAGTATGGTATTTCCTCAAGGATCTAGAACTGGAAATACCATTTGACCCAGCAATCCCATTACTGGGTATATATCCAAAGGAATATAAATCATTCTACTATAAAGACACATGCACACATATGTTTACTGCAGCACTATTTACAATAGCAAAGACATGGAACCTACCCAAATGCCCATCAATGATAGACTGAATAAAGAAAATGTGACACATATACACCATGGAATACTTTGCAGCCATAAAAAGGAATGCCATCATGTCTTTTGCAGGGACATGGATGAAGCTGGAAGCCATCATTCTCAGCAAACTAACACAGGAATGGAAAATCAAACACCACATGTTCTTGAAGATTAAGAACACATGGACATAGATGGGGAATAATACACACCAAAGCCTGTTCAGGGGTGAGGGTTGGGGGATGAGGGGAGAGAACTTAGAGTACATGTCAATAAGTGCAGCAAACCACCAATGGCACATGTATACCTATGTAACAAACCTGCACATTCTGCATATGTATCCTGTTTTTTTTTTTTAGAAGAAATAAAGGAAAACAATATTCATTGATGGGTGAATAAAGAAATTGTGGTTTATAAATATATATGTGTTCTGTGTGTGTATGTGTATGTATATATATATTATATAAAATGCAATATATATTATATATAATGCAATATATATATAATTTAATATCATTTGACATTAGAAAAGAAGGATGTCCTGCCTTTCACAACAACATGGATGGATGAACCTGAAGGACATTAGGCTAAATGAAAAAAAGCCAGACACAGAAAGAAAAATACTGTATGATCTCACTTATATACGGAATATAAAATAGTCAAATACACTGAAACAGGTAGTAGAATGTTGGTTGCCAGGAATTTGAAGAGGTGGATAAAATGGAGGCAATGTTGATTAAAGGGTACAAACTTGCAGTTGTAAGTTCTGGGGACCTAAGGAAAAGCATGGTGACTAGTTAATATAAGATTTTATACTTGAAATAGGGCTAAAAGAATAGGTTGTAAGTATTCTCATCATATGCAAAAAAAAAAAAAAAAAGAAAAAAAAACCCTATGGGAGGTAATGGGTAATGTTAATTAGCTTGATCATCGTAATTTTACAAGGTATACATATTTGAAATCATGTTGTACACTTTGAATATATACAATTTTATGTTTCAATTATGCCTCAATAAAGCTGGAAAAAGAATAATTTTAGTCATCTCAGTCACTGAAAATTGACTTTCTTTAATAATCTTAAATCATTACAATAATTATTCAAAACTTACATAGAGAAAATTAATAAACACTTGTAGGTTGTATTAGTCCATTTTCACACTGCTATAAAGAACTGCCCAAGACTGGGTAATTTATAAAGGAAAGAGGTTTAATTGACTCATAACTCACCATGGCTGGGGAGGCCACAGGAAACTTAGAATCATGGCAGAAGGCAAAGGGGAAGCAAGGTGGGAGAGAGTGAAGGGGGAAGAGCTCCTTATACAACCATCAGATCTCGTGAGAACTCACTTACTATCAAGAGAACAGCATGGGTGAAACAGCCCCTGTGAATCAATTACCCCCACCTAGTCTCTCCCTTGATATGTGGGGATTATAGGGATTTTGGAGATTACAATTCAAGATGAGATTTGGGTGGGGACGCAAAGACTAACCATATCATGAGTATACATCTGGGTGGAGATTTTGACTTCCCCTTCGTAACAGGTTTGTGAAGCAGAAAGAGCCGTGGACTTGAAGCCACAACAAATTTGGTTTTCAGTCCTGGTCTGACTCCACCACTTGCCTGCCAGCATGAACTTGACCAAATTCATTTTGATCTTATCTGATCTAATATATGAGGTGCCATGTTTTTAATGCTTTTTTAACCTGGTGTCCATAAAGACAACAGACTAACAGACTGGCAGATGACTACTGGCATAGCAAAGGAGAAAAATAATGCCATCCCACTGACCTGAGCCCTGTCTTCTGCAGGTTTTCCCCCATCCTATCCACAACCTGGGAAAATTCTCCCAATCAAATCTTAAAAATAACTTCAACAACAGACAAGATGGCAATGGTAATTGTTGGTGTTGTGTGTAGCGGGGAGGAGGTTAAGGTAGAATTTAGGTGATCAATATTTCAGAATATAGCATTTTAGGATGATGATATGAGAATGGATTTCTTTAGTCCTATTTTAAGGTGGCTCCTATACGTTACATGCTGACAGAAATAACATATGGGTATTAGAAAAAAAAACACATGTTACATAAGATATATGCTAGAAATATTTGTATTTTTGTAGCTGAGTCTTTGAGAGCAGGAATCCCAGAAGATATTTTACTGTAAAACATTAGCTTTCAATAGATTGGACTTGGACTATTATCAAGGTTTAATTGTATTTTACTAAATATTACTGTAAGCATTTTAATTAATATTATAATTGCAATTACTATGAATTTTCTACATTCTTTATATTAGGTGTATTTGTGAATTAACTCTTTCACCTTTTTACTCGTGATTTTAATAAATAATATTTCAAAAGAATGTGCAATTGAAAGAATGAAAGTTAGTACCCAGTAACAACAGAGATTTGGGGACTGAAACTTATTCCTACTATCTTAGAACTTAGAATTAAAAAAAAAACTTGTTAAATAAGAAGACAAGAGCAACGTATTTTGAGAAAGTCATTAAGTTTGGTTTATTTTGTTTAACAAATACAATGTATGTTCTCTTTAGGCACATTTTAGAGATCCCTATATTGTTTCTGACTTTTAAAAGCTAATTGAAATGCCAAAGATTTGAGCATGAAGCATTAATTTCATTTGACCTTTTAAGAAAAAATTATTCTTGTTTATTTTTCAGAAAATGAATTAGTCTTCTCTACCAATCATGTTAGAATGAGCCAGGTGGCAGATTATTTAATATCTTGCCTTTCACCTCTGGAGACTAGGGTTTAAATGTGGCTTAAGAAAACACCCAGAAGTGATTTGTGTACATCTCAAAACCCTTACAACTGGGCTTAAGCAGCAATCACTTGCAGCTGTAGAGATGCTCGTTCAAAAAAGCATCAGAAATGTCATAGGACCAAATCAGGGGATTTCAATAAAGGTATAAAGGCCACTCAGACAATCCATGTGGGATAAAGCTTATCAAAATAATGAACCTAAACGTCTGGAACTTTCCTAGTCAATGAAAAATAGCAAAGGAGCTTCCTCGGCTTTTTTATTTTTTTATTTTTTTTCTAAAAAAAAAAAAAAACAAGGAGAAACAAAGAAAAATGAGTAGTCTCAAGTAGATCAGATTAAGTGGTAAAAGCATCCCTAAAGATATGCAAATTACATTGGTAAGTGAAAAAAAATAATAGTAAAAAGTATAGCTTACTAGTGCCCTCTAGTGTACCTTCTCTTCTGCTTTTTGTGGAATGTGTGTGTGTTTTTTGTTTTTTGGTTTTTGGTTTTTTTTGTAATGTTTTCTAGAGTGTAAGCAGGGGTTCTAACATAAATAAGTTTTAGAACAAGTGAAAACTAAAAAAAAAAGCTGTAAATTACTTAAAAATTAAATATTAACATTATTGGAAAAGATAAAAACAGCCAAACTAATAATATTATTACGTGTATTTGCGTCAATAAACTAACATCATTGTCAAATTAAAGAAAGACTGAAAGACAGAAAAATGATACCATTTCCCCCTCCTCATGGATAGGCAAAACAGCCTTTTCCCTGAAAAATGTTTTGCTTCCCAGTAACTCTGTTTTGCATCCTAATTGTACCATGTGCCAACAAAACAGATTGTTTGCTAATTGATATCATAAAGCAAGACAGCCCAGTGAAGGATGATAATTCTGACTACGGCTAGCAGCAGCTGATGTAGAGCTTGATAGAAATGCTGTCATTTTCAACACAAACTGCCTACAACTGACTTTTCACTGTAAATATAGAGATGTGACAGAAGCCTCACACACCCACCTTTATTTTAAAAAATGAACAGATAATTCTGCTACAATACTCTTGTTACCAGTTCTAGTTTAGCTTGTAGCATTTTAAAGAAACTAAGTTTAGGGATATCATTCAGTCTCTGTACACAGCACTGGGGGACAAGGTAAAACCTTTCATCTATAGTCTATAGTCAGATGTAGGCTCATGAATAACATGTTTGCTTATGGATTTCTAGAGGAGAATAAAATAGCCAGAGCATGAACTATCTATCTATTGAAAATTCACAAGATGTCAATAAATTAGAATATAAAAAGTATATTTTACTTCAAGTATTTATAAATTCAGCCACAGCATATGTGAATAATGAAAATTATTCTCATATTTCTATGCATCTTTCACAGCAAAAATACAATATTGCTTAATGGGACTTAGCCTGTCAGCACAAAGAGTCCTTAAATAAAGAATTTTTCTATGTGAAAACTGATATTTTTAGGCATTAATAAATGTCTAGGGTGAAATTCAATGTGATTCAGCACAGAGCAGCCTTTTGAATGTAGGTCCCTAAAGAACAATGGCTATGCAATGCAAATAATTTAGGCAATATAAAATGAGAAAATAAAGACATTTGGATAGAGAGGGAATGCTGACATGGGATGTGAAGGCTTTTAGTATAGTTCTCAAGGAGAAATGTTGAAGTAAAGGGGTGATGTACCACATGCCATAGTATACAGCAACCTTTGTTCAAAAGAGTAACTATTTGTGGTTTAAAAAACTGAATTATCTTTTCTAGATATGCACTTTATTATAATCTCTCCTCAACCTAACTCTTCATTTTATTTTTCTGCAGAGTGAAATCTGATGTAAAAATAGGTGCATTAGACTCAGAATGTTTATGGTAGAAGAAAACATCAGAGACCATGTAGTCACCCCACTCCCAGACTCCCATTACTTAACAAGTAAGGAAACTAAGGCACATAGAGGTGAAATCAAATGTGTTTAAAATCACACAGCAAGTCAGTAGCAGAGACAGAAGGAAAATAAATCTCTAATATTTTATCCATAGTTTTTCAAAGTAGCTATTTTTCGTGCAATAAAAAGTCCTTTAAAATGTCGTTAAAATGGCTTAATTTTCTACTTGTTTTTAGCTTTAGTTTCAACAATTTAGTTCTTAAAATGGGCAAAAGAAAAGGGCCAAGGGAACAAACTGCAGAGCGGATTGAAACCCCATCACAATTGATGGCAAATTGTTTTGCAGTCTAAAGTTAATCCTGAAGCAGTAGTTGATGGACTTTTAATTAAGAAACAAACATCTATACATTTGTGAGCCTGTCAATTTACACTTCTAACACTTCTGAGAACCATTAATTGACACAATCTAGGTGTTTGTGAGTAGCTCCACACTTCCATTTATTTTTCTATTTGCTAAAATTCTCTCCTTTTAACCTTAAATTTGTAAAGAAAAATCTGTGAAGATTGTAATTTTATTTATTTTCGCTAAATACAATCTAGCATTATTAATTCAAATGGCTTCTTCCATATATTATTTTAACACTTTACTCAAAGTTTTTGCCTAATCTTCAGACTGTCCTCATCGAATGTCTATCTGGGTCCTGAGGCTGCACGCTCAGATTTCTAAAGTAGGAAGCTGATTTTTTAGCAAACCAGCATATGTCATGGCATCACAGTTGGATCTTTGCCAGTACCAACAACAAACCCAGGAAATTGTTGATCACAGTGTGGCAAATAATACCATGATCACAATGTGGCAAATCACACTGTGGCAAATAATACCGTGACTAAAATCACAGTGTTCACATCTCCCTCTCCTCTCACTAAAGAGCACACTGAGCAGAAGAGAGAAAAAAATGTATGCAGAGTAAAAACAAAAAGGGAGGGAGATTTTGAGTTCCGAGTGTTCAACATCCAATTTCACTTTATGTCAAAGTTATAATCCATGTGACTTTGTTTTCCCTCTCCAGTGAGCATTAGTGCCATTGTGCCATATGCCACTGTTTGGAGCCATGTCTCCCTTAGTTATCCTTTAATTGGCTTGACCTATGGGAAGGATGGCTAGCAACCAAGCTAATTACATAAATCCACTCCAGGCTCTATAATTTTACTATAGACAGCTCTTCTGGGAGAATACAAAGGAAAAAACAATTTATCCAAAGTTTCAAACTTCTTCACATATTTCATATAGCAAAGCATGCGTTTCATAGCATGATAAAAGGTAACAATGATTTGCTTCACTTACAATGTGACTTTAATTTTCTTCCCCCTCACATAGTTAAACACATAATTGATTTTAAATTTTACAAATGTATGAAAATTACTATTTAAACAAAAAGTCAAAATTATAGTTAGAAAACTAATTTTAGGTTGCCAATTTTAATTCAGGCAGTTTTGATGGGGAAAAATATGATGGGATGCTAGAATCTCTTTCAAAGTTAAAATAGTGGGGAAAAAGTTTCCAAAGAAAATCCATTTCATAGTTCTATAAGTATAACTTAATAAAAAGCAATAACACAGAACAGTCACAAATCAGAAAAAAAGGAAAATTGCCCAAATCAATAGATATGGGAGAACTAGTTGAACGTTGTACTTAAGGTTGAAAATCACATGTCTCTTGGGATCCGGACATAATGTGTTTTTTCATTGATACATCTATTATACAAACTTTATAGAATAATGGTTCGATTTTTAATACCTTTAGGACTATTGAATGGTGTCTCTTTGAACTATGAAAATACATAGACCCATTAATTAATTAATGGAATTTGAAGTGTGCATGATATACCTAATTTTGGCAGAATGATATATAATTGTTGAAATATCGAGAAACGCTGTAAACTCTATACATATGTTTCAGAAAAGTATAATTATATTCCATGAATTCATGTATAGCCTTCAAGATCTCTGTTTAAGCAAGTCAAATGGTAGTGACTAAAGGACACTTTTCCACATAATTTATTACTCCAAGTCTTTTTTGAGAAAAAGACAGAAACAACTCTACTAGTGCTGCATTACTTTAAAATAACAAATATTTATTTTCAAAGACATCATACTTATTTATTGCTTCTCTTTAATACTGCTTCAATATTTTGACTAAACATGTATCATATTTATATTATATCAAAATTCCTAATTATTTCCTTTATTCCATGTATCCAGTTTTTGAAAGAATAAAGGGATTATTTGGTGATCTAAGGTAAAAAAAAAAAATAACAACAATAACAAAAGTTTTGCCCATGACATTCAAAATTACCACTTTATTGTACAAATCATCAACGTTGGGATAGTATAACCAAAAGAGTAATACAATTTGAATGTATTTTCCATAAGATATATGGGAAATCATTCCCAGCTGGCCAAATAGGAACAGCTCCAGTCTACAGCTCCCAGCATGAGCAACACAGAAGAAGGGTGATTTCTGCATTTCTAACTGAGATACTGGGTTCATCTCACTGGGGCTTGTCAGACAGTGGGTGCAGGACAGTGGGTGCAGCCCACGGAGCATGAGCCGAAGCAGGGCGGGGCATTGCCTCACCTGGGAAGCACAAAGGGTTAGCGAATTCCCTTTCCTAGCCAAGGGAAGCTGTGACAGATGGTACCTGGAAACTCAGGACACTCCTGCCCTAATACTGTGCTTTTCCAACAGTCTTAGCAAACAGCACACCAGGAGATTATATCGTGTGCTGGCTCAGTGGGCCCCACGCCCACGAAGCCTTGTTCACTGCTAGCACAGCAGTCCAAGAGTGAACTGCGACATGGCAGTGAGGCTGGGGGAGGGGCATCCGCCATTGCTGAGGCTTGACTAGGTAAACAAAGCAGCTGGGAAGCTTGAACTGGGTGGAGCCCACCGCAGCTCAACAAGAGGCCTGCCTGCCTCTGTAGACTCCACCTCTGGGGGCAGGGCATAGCTGAATAAAAGGCAGCAGAAATTTCTGCAGACTTAAACGTCTCTGTCTGACAGCTTTGAAGAGAGCAGTGGTTCTCCCAGCACAGAGTTTGAGATCTCAGAATGGACAGACCACCTCCTCAAGTGGGTCCCTGACCCCCAAGTAGCCTAACTGGGAGACACCTCCCAGTAGGGGCCAACTGACAACTCATACAGCAGGGTGCCCCTCTGAGATGAAGCTTCCAGAGGAAGGATCAGGCAGCAACATTTACCGTTCTGCAATATTTGCTGTTCTGCAGCCTCTGCTGGTGATGCCCAGGCAAACAGGGTCTGGAGTGAACCTCCAGCAAACTCCAACAGACCTGCAGCTGAGGGTCCTGACTGTTAGGAGGAAAACTAACAAACAGAAAGGAATAGCATCAACACCAACAAAAAGGACATCCACACCCTATCTGTAGGCCACCAGCATCAAAGACCAAAGGTAGATAAAACCACAAAGATGGGGAGAAACCAGAGCAGAAAAGCTGAAAATTCTAAAAATCGGAGCGCCTCTTCTCCTCCAAAGGATCGCAGCTCCTCGCCAGCCACGGAACAAAGCTGGACCAAGAATGACTTTGACAAGTTGAACACAAGTTGGCTTCAGAAGATCAGTAATAACAAACTTCTCCGAGCTAAAGGAGGATGTTCGAACCCATCTCAAAGAAGCTAAAAACATAGAAAAAAGATTAGACGAACGGCTAACTAGAATGAACAGTATAGAGACGACCTTAAATGACCTGATGGAGCTGAAAAACATGGCACGAGACCTATGTGATGTACGCACAAGTTTCAGTAGCCAATTCGATCAAATGGAAGAAAGGGTATCAGTGATTGAAGATCAAATGACTGAAATGAAGTGAGAAGAGAAGTTTAGAGAAAAAAGAGTAAAAAGAAACGAATAAAGCCTCCAAGAAATATGGGACTATGGGAAAAGACCAAATCTACGTCTCATTGGTATACCTGAAAGTGACGGTGAGAATGGA
This sequence comes from Homo sapiens, assembly GCF_000001405.40. Taxonomy (NCBI): domain Eukaryota; kingdom Metazoa; phylum Chordata; class Mammalia; order Primates; family Hominidae; genus Homo; species Homo sapiens. The sequence goes on from NC_000006.12 coordinate 103,803,406, forward strand.
ACCAAGTTGGAAAACACTCTTCAGGATATTATCCAGGAGAACTTCCCCAACCTAGAAAGGCAGGCCAATATTCAAATTCAGGAAATACAGAGAACTCCACAAAGATACTCCTCAAGAAGAGCACCCCAAGACACATAATTGTCAGATTCACCAAGGTTGAAATGAAGGAAAAAATATTAAGGGCAGCCAGAGAGAAAGGTCGGGTTACCCACAAAGGGAAGCCCATCAGACTAACAGCGGATCTCTCAGTAGAAACTCTACAAGCCAGAAGAGAGTGGGGGCCAATATTCAACATTCTTAAAGAAAACAATTTTCAACCCAGAATTTCATATCCAGCCAAACTAAGCTTCATAAGTGAAGGAGAAATAAAATCATTTACAGACAAGCAGATTCTGAGAGATTTTGTCACCACCAGGCCTACCTTACAAGAGCTCCTGAAGGAAGCACTAAACATGGAAAGGAACAACCACTACCAACTACTGCAAAAGCATTCCAAATTGTAAAGACCATGGATGCTAGGAAGAAACTGCATCAACTAATGAGCAAAATAACCAACTAACATTGTAATGACAGGATCAAATTCACACATAACAATATTAACCTTAAATGTAAATGCCCCAATTAAAAGACACAGACTGGCAAATTGAATAAAGAGTTAAGATCCACTGGTGTGCTCTCTTCAGGAGACCCATCTCACATGCAGAGACATACATAGGCTCAAAATAAAGGGACGGAGGAAAATTTACAAAGCAAGTGGAAAACAAAAAAAAAAAGCAGGATTGCAATCCTAGTCTCTGATAAAACAGACTTTAAACCAACAAAGATCAAAAGAGACAAAGAAGGCCATTACATAATGGTAAAGGGATCAATTCAACAAGAAAAGCTAACTATCCTAAATATATATGCACCCAATACAGGAGCACCCAGATTCATAAAGCAAGTCCTTAGAGACCTACAAAGAGACTTAGCCTCCCACACAATAATAATGGGAGACTTTATCACCCCACTGTCAACATTAGACAGATCAACGAGGCAGAAAGTTAACAAGGATATCCAGGACTTGAACTCAGCTCTGGACCAAGTGGGCTTAACAGACATCTACAGAACTCTCCACCCCAAATCAACAGAATATACATTCTTCTCAGTACCACATCACACTTATTTCAAAATTGACCACATAGTTGGAAGTAAAGCACTCCTCAGCAAATGTAAAAGAATGGAAATTATAACAAACTATCTCTCAGACCACAGTCAATCAAATTAGAACTCAGGATTAAGAAACTCACTCAAAACTGCACAACTGCATGGAAACTGAACAACCTGCTCCTGAATAACTACTGGGTAAATAACGAAATGAAGGCAGAAATTAAGATGTTCTCTGAAACCAATGAGAACAAAGACACAACATACCAGAATCTCTGGGATACATTTAAAGCAGTGTGTAGAGGGAAATTTATAGCACTAAATGCCCACAAGAGAAAGCAGGAAAGATCTAAAGTCAACATCCTAAAATCACAATGAAAAGAAACAGAGAAGCAAGAGCAAACATATTCAAAGCAGAAGGCCAGAAATAACTAAGATCAGAGCAGAACTGAAGGAGATAGAAACCTAAAATCCCTTCAAAAAATCAATGATTCCAGGAGCTGGTTTTTTGAAAAGATCAACAAAACTGATAGACCGCTAGCAAGACTAACAAAGAAGAAAAGAGAGAAGAATCAAATAGATGCAATAAAAAATGATAAAGGGGATATCACCACCGATCCCACAGAAATATACACTACCATCAGAGAATACTATAAACACCTCTATGCAAATAAACTAGAAAATCTAGAAGAAATGGATAAATTCCTGGACACATACACCCTCCCAAGACTAAATCAGGAAGAAGTTGAATCCCTGAATAGACCAATAACAGGCTCTGAAATTGAGGCAATAATTAATAGCATACCAACCAAAAAATGTCCAGGACCAGACAGATTCACAGCCGAATTCTACCAGAGTTACAAAGAGGAACTGGTACCATTCCTTCTGAAACTATTCCAATCGATAGAAAAAGAGAGATTCCTCCCTAACTCATTTTATGAGGCCAGCATCATCCTGATACCAAAGACTGGCAGAGACACAACAAAAAAGGAGAATTTTAGACCAATATCCGTGATGAACATCAAAGCAAAATGCTCAATAAAATACTGGCAAACCGAATCCAGCAGCACATCAAAAAGCTTATCCACCAGGATCAAGTGGGCTTCATCCCTGGGATGCAAGTCTGGTTCAACATATATAAATCAATAAACGTAATCCATCATATAAACAGAACCAAAGACAAAAACCACATGATTTTCTCAATAGATGTAGAAAAGGCCTTTGAAAATTCAACAGCCCTTCATGCTAAGAACTCTCAATAAATTAGGTATTGATGGGACGTATCTCAAAATAATAAGAGCTATTTATGACAAACCCACAGCCAATATCATACTGAATGGGCAAAAACTGGAAGCATTCCCTTTGAAAATGGGCACAAGACAGGGATGCCCTCTCTCACCACTCCTATTCAACATAGTGTTGGAAGTTCTGGCAAGGGCAATCAGGCAGGAGAAAGTAATAAAGGGGATTTGGTTAGGAAAAGAGGAAGTCAAATTGTCCCTGTTTGCAGATGACATGATTGTATATTTAGAAAACCCCATCGTCTCAGCTCAAAATCTCCTTAAGCTGATAAGCAACTTCAGCAAAGTCTCAGGATACAAAATTAAAGTGCAAAAACCACAAGCATTCCTATACACCAAAAACAGACAAACAGAGAGCCAAATCATGAGTGAATTCCCATTCACAATTGCTTCAAAGAGAATAAAATACCTAGGAATCCAACTTACAAGGGATGTGAAGGACATCTTCAAGGAGAACTACAAACCACTGCTCAATGAAATAAAAGAGGACACAAACAAATGGAAGAACATTCCATGCTTATGGATAGGAAGAATCAATATCATGAAAATGGCCGTATTGCCCAAGTTAATATATAGATTTAATGCCATCCCCATCAATCTACCAATGACTTTCTTCACAGAATTGGAAAAAACTACTTTAAAGTTCATATGGAACTAAAAAAGAGCCCGCATCGCCAAGACAATCCTAAGCAAAAAGAACAAAGGTGGAGGCATCACACTACCTGACTTCAAACTAAACTACAAGGCTACAGTAACCAAAATAGCATGATACTGGTACCAAAACAGAGATATAGACCAATGAAACAGAACAGAGCCCTCAGAAATAATACCACACATCTACAACCATCTGATCTTTGACAAACCTGACAAAAACAAGAAATGGGGAAAGCATTACTTATTTAATAAATGGTGTTGGGAAAACTGGCTAGCCATATGAAAAAAGCTGAAACTGGATCCCTTCCTTACACCTTATACAAAAATTAATTCAAGATGGATTAAAGCCTTAAACGTTAGACCTAAAACCATAAGAACCCTAGAAGAAAACCTAGGCAATACTATTCAGGACATAGGCATGGGCAAGGACTTCATGACTAAAACACCAAAAGCAATGGCAACAAAAGCCAACATTGACAAATGGGATCTAATTAAACTAAAGAGTTTCTGCACAGCAAAAGAAACTACCATCAGAGTGAACAGGCAGCCTACAGAATGGGAAATAATTTTTGCAATCTACCTATCTGACAAAGGGCTAATATCCAGAATCTACAAAGAATATAAACAAATGTACAAGAAAAAATCAAACAACCCCATCAAAAATTGGGCAAAGGATATGAACAGACACTTCTCAAAAGAAGACGTTTGTGGAGCCAACAGACACATGAAAAAATGCTCATCATCACTGGCCATCAGAGAAATGCAAATCAAAACCACAATGAGTGGTACCATCTCACACCAGTTAGAATGGCGATCATTAAAAAGTTAGGAAACAACAGGTGCTGGAGAGGATGTGGAGAAATAGGAACACTTTTACACTGTTGGTGGGACAGTAAACTAGCTCAACCATTGGGAAAGACAGTGTGGCGATTCCTCAAGGATCTAGAACTAGAAATACCATTTGACCCAGCCATCCCATTACTGGGTATAGACCCAAAGAATTATAAATTGTGCTACTATAAAGACACATGCACACATATGTTTATTGCGGCACTATTCACAACAGCAAAGACTTGGAACCAACCCAACTGTCCATCAATGATAGACTGGATTAATAAAATGTGGCACATATACACCACTAAATACTATGCAGCCATAAAAAAGGATGAGTTCACGTCCTTTGTAGGGACATGTATGAAGCTGGAAACCATCATTCTGAGCATACTAGCACAAGGACAGAAAACCAAACACTGCATGTTCTCACTCATAGGTGGGAATTGAACAATGAGAACACTTGGACACAGGGTGGGGAACATCACACACCGGGGCCTGTCAGGAGGTGGGGGGAGGGGGGAGGGATAGCATTAGGAGGAATACCTAATGTAAATGATGAGTTAATGGGTGCAGCACACCAACATGGCACATGTACACATATGTAACAAACCTGCACATTGTGCACATGTACCCTAGAACTTAAAGTGTAATAATAAAAAAAATTAAATTAAATTTAAAAAGATATATGGACAATATCGAATAAACAAGTGTTAAAAGTACTAGCATACTAAAGGATTTCTGTAGTTACAGGTAGCTACATTGTAATAAAAATAAAATGTTATTTCTCCAAATAAAAGACTAATAAACATTTAATGAAAATGATGGTAATTTTTTTGGGTGACTGCTAATGGAGATAATTGAAAAAAGCATGGAACTTTTATTTCACATATTTTTATATATTTTTTTACTTTACTGAGATAAAAATACAGTGACTCCAGATACCTTCTAGACTAATGCCAGCCTTATAAAGATAGAATAACACACAGATGATCAACTGATGAAAGAGAAGTTTCCTACTTACAAGAAATATTTCATTTGTTCAAAAAACAGAGGCATATGTTTTTGCTTCATTGAAATTTTAACTATTTGATAATTTTTTCCTTATGTTTGGGAGTTGACATACGATAACAATTAAATCTTAATGAGATTTAGCAACTTGGACAAAGTCATTCAGTTAGTAATTGGCAAATCTTGAGTTTAAATAAAATGTTAGGTTCAGAATCCAAATGCTATGATTTTAGCTTCTATATTTACTCGAAGATAATTTTAAGTTATATGTTCCAGTGATACTTATTCTGTCGTAGATTAATTTTGAAAGTCTTATAGTCAAAGCTGAATGCGTATGGACCCAGAAGTTTTCCAATACTTCCCCCTAATATGACACTTTTAGTATGTATGAAACTTCGAGTAAAATATGACCTATTGTAAAATAAAAACATACTCTGTTTTTCTGTACTTCACTGGCATTAGATTTTTAAGCACTGTAATTCTGTAGATTCATAATGAATTTGTAATGATTACAACTCCAGGTATTTTCTTTTCATATGCAGTAGTTGTTGTTAGCTTAATTGGTCCCCTTCTAAATTTATGCAAACGTGTTTTGAGCTTCAGTATTTGACTACAATTAAGACAATTTATATTCCTGCTAAATTTCATCATTTTAGTTAGGTGTTTTCATACAAGCAGAAAAAAATGTTTTAGCTACCCTCCCTGACTTTATAATATTTATAAATTTAATAAATATTCCTGGGGTGACTTTATTCAAGGAACTGATCAAAATGTTGGAAAATACATGATCAAGAATAGCCCATTATAGCAAGAATATTTGCATTAATACAGTAATTCTTACTATATGCACAATAATAAGCTTTTTGATCACTCATTTTTGGCAGGGACACTGTGATTGACATGCACTTCCTTATTAACTCTTTACAACACTCTATAAAGTCAACCTATTACCCTGTCCTGTGGTGAGAACATTTTGAGGGATGTTAAGTCATTCTCCCGAGATAACACAGCCAGTAGAAGTAGAACCAGGGACTGAATACAGTTCTGACTCCACAAATCTGTCCAAAGGATTTTTCAATCTAGACCTGAAAGAGAGAAGTCCCTTTTCTTTGTGGTCACAAGGTGAGAATTCAAGCCTAGGAGTACCAGCAACCCTGGTTTCAGCCTTGTGGTAATTGTCAGAGAAAGGAAGACAAAATGGAAAAGAAAATAAAGACGAAAAATAAATAAAAGGAGTGTAAATGAAATCTGGAAAAGGAAAGGCTAATGATACTGGATTTCCAGGTTCCAGACATTTCAACCATTAACCTGAAGGAATAACATCCTTTTTTGATCAGTGCTAAATAAACTTTTTATTAATATGTCTTTAACACAAGGAATATTAACAGAGAAAAGGAGAGATTAAGAGAGACAGAAAGGTTAGAATTCTCTGAGACAAGAGACGGATAGGAAAACTTAACCTTATGGGCAATTGAGACTGAGAAAGAGGAAAGACTTGAAGGGCCAGGGGAGTATGTAAGTACCAGACATCCAGAAGGCAAGTGGAAGAAACTATGTCAGCAATTCCCCTACCACATTTATTTTAAGGCATTTGACAAGTTGCCACTGATTCCTTTTGGAAAGACATACATTTTGAGTAGTTGCATTTAAATGGAGTTGAATACTTAACATTTATTCTTATCAATAGCATCTTTAATGAGCACTCCTGTCTTGGATTAATACTCTAGTTTTCATATTAAAGGCTCATTTTTCTACATGTTCTTGGTTTAAATGGATCTTTCTTAGCTCTCTTTGTTTTCATTGTTGCTGATTTGTTGACCTTCTTTTCAATACTTAGCAGTTTAACTGATAATTTAGAGATCTTTATATGAGTAGCATAGTTTTTATGCTTGCGTGTAGTTACCTCTATTGAAAGATAAACTATGGTGTGCCCAAGAAGGCTGGACTGAGACGCTGTAATATGCAAGCCTTGTCTAACGCACCAAACAGAGAGAAGAGCTTCATGCCCCTGAATGGATCAATCAGGCTCACTTCATTCTGCGCACCGAGGCATACCTGCACCCATTATCTGATGGCATCTCTGTTTTCTCAAAATTAAACATTTTTCTCATTCCCACTTAATCATTTTGTCATAAATTTCATTGTTTGGGAAATAGCATTTCCATTGTTATTCATTTGTATATCTCTGGTCATTGCTTTATTTTTAATTATTTTTATGTCATTTAGTTGTAAACAAAACTTATAAATGATACATTGCTGAATTTTGCTTTTTTAACTCATTCTGATAATGTTTAAATTTAGTAGCATTATTTGGTCATTTCTTATTTTTCATAATCACTCATTTTAGCATATTTCTGACATAACTTATTTTACTATGTTTTAATAGAAATACATGTGCTTCTTATTTATCTTCTTTCTTCCTTTTCTTTCATAGAGAATTGAGTATTGTTTATTGTCTGTTCTCCTACTAATTTCTGGTGGTTTGGAAGTTCTACATCTATTTGTTTTATGTTAGTGTATATTCTTAAACTTGAAGTTATTTATTACTTCATCAAATCAAGTTATAGCTAAGCAGTACCTAAGACTTCTAACCCAAAAAGTTATTTTAATCAATATTAAATTATATATTCATAGTATAAATGAACCTTAGATATTTTACCTGAATATCTGTGTGTGTATATGTGTGCATGTATGTATATGTATGGCTATGTGTACTTATGGGTGCTACATATATGGATGGATGGATGTATCTGTGTCTATGCACACACTTGCAGTGTAAGTGCTTTTATGTAATGCCACCACATTGCTATTTTATTTGGAGAGGAAGAGGTTTGAAGAAGACATGCTGTGTAATATGATATAAAAATACATAAAATCGTAAGATAAAATTGAACAAATCAGAGTGTAAAGAAGGTTTGACTGTGTTTTGATCTTTGTGGTATGTTGCTAAGTTTCCCCCTAAAACCATTCTTTCTTTTTCTCATAGTTAAAAAGTTGAATTGGAAACATGGTCAACCAGCTGGAAACCTTATTTTCCAGGCCCCCTTGCAAGTAGATATGACCAAGTGGCCAATTTCTCAAAAATGAATGGTGGCCAGAAAGAATGTGTGCCACATCCAGGCTGTGGCTGTAAAATATTAATCGGGTCAATATATTTCCCTAATGTACGTGCATACGTCAGAGAGTGCAATAGCATTATGTCTATAAAACAATGTACATACCTTAATTAAAAATATTTTATTTGTCAAAGATGCTAACAATCATCTGAGACTTCATTGAGTTGTAATGTATTTTTGCTGGTGGAAGAACTTCAGTTCCAGACAACCACAATAAAACAAATATTGCAAAAAAGAAAGTCACGTGAATATTTTGGTTTTCTAGTGCATATAAAAGGTATGTTTATACTACACTATAGCCTATTAAATGTGCGATAGCATTATGTCCATTAAACAATGTACATACCTTAATTAAAAATATTTTATTGGTCAAAGATGCTAACAATCATCTGAGACTTCATTGAGTTGTAATGTATTTTTGCTGGTGGAAGAACTTGCCTTGATGCTTGTAGCTGCTGACTGATCAGGGTGGTGGTTGCTGAAAGCGGGAATGGCTGTGGCAATTTCCGGAAATAAAGCAACAATGAAGTTTGCTGCATCAATGAACTCTTCCTTTCAGGAAAGATTTATCTGTAGCATTTGATACTGTTTGATAGTATGTTAAACTTTCTTTTTTAATTGGAGGACAGGCACAGTGGCTAATGCCTGTAATCCCAACACTTTAGGAGGCCAAGGTGGGAGCATCACTTGAGCCCAGGAGTTTGAGACTAGCCTGGGCAACATAGTGAGACCCTGTCACAAAAAAAAAAAAAAAAAAGTCAATTTTCAATTTTCTCAAACTCTTCTCCTGATTTATCAACTAAGTTTACGTAATATTTTAAGTTCCTTGTTGTCATTTCAGTAATGTTCACAGCATCTTCATCAGGAATAGAATTCATCTCAAGAAACCACTTACCTTTCTCATCCATAAAAAGCAAGTCCTCATTCATTAAAGATTTATCATGAAATTTCATCAATTCAGTCACATCTTCAGGCTTCTTTTCCAGTTCTAGTTCTCTTGCTACTTCTATCATAATTACAGTAACTTCCTCTACTGAAGCCTTAAAGTCATCCATGAGGGTTAGAATTAACTTCTTCCAAATTCCTGTTAATGTTGCTGTTTTGACCTCCTTCCATGTAACAAAAATGTTCCTAATGGCATCTGGAATGATGAATGCTTTCCAAAAGGTTTTCAATTAATTTCGCACAGGTCGATCAGAGGAATCACCATCTATGCCAGCCATGCATTACGAAATGTATTTCTGAAATAACAGGATTTGAAAGTCTAAATTACTCCTGATCTATGGGCTACAGAATGGATATTGTGTTAGAAGGCATGAAAACAACATTAATTTCCTTGTACATCTCCATTAGAGCTCTTGGCTGACTAGGCACATTGTCAATGAGCAGTAATATTTTGAAAGAAATCTTGTTTTCTGAGCAGTGGGTCTCAAGAGTGGGCTTAAAGTATTCAGCTAAAGCATGCTATAAACAGATGTGCTGTCATCCGGGCTTTGTTGTCCATTTATAGAGCTAAGGGAGAGTAGATTTATTATAATTCTTAAGAGCCCTGGGATTTTCAAAGTGGTAAATGAGCACTGGCTTTAACTTAAAGTCACCAGCTACATTAGCCCCTAACAAGAGAGTCAGCCTGTTCTCTGAAGCTTTGATGATCTGAAACCAGGCATTAACTTCTCTCTAGCTATGAAAGTCCTTAGATGGCATATTCTTGCATTATACAACTGTTTCATCTACAGTGAAAATCTGTTGTTTAGTATAGCACCATCAATTATGTTAGTCAGCTCTTCTGGATAACTTGCTACACTTTCTACAACAGCATTTGCTACTTCACCTTGTACTTTTATGTTATGGAAATGGCTTCTTTCTTTAAATCTCATGAATCAACCTCTGTTAGCTTCAAACTTTTCTTCTGCGGCATTCTCACTTCTTTCAGCCTTCACAGAATTGAAGAGAGTTAGGGGCTTGCTCTGGATTAAGCTTTGGCTTAAAGGAATGTTGTGTCTGTCTGATCTTCTATCCAGGCACTCAAACTTTCTCCCTAGCAGCAATAAGGCTGTTTTGCTTTCTTAACATTTGTGTGTTCACTGAAGTAGCACTTTTAATTTCCTTCAATAACTTTTCCTTTGCATTTACAACTTGGCTAACTGTTTGGCACAAGGGACCTAGCTTTCAGCTTATGCTGGATTTTGAGATGCCTCCCTTATTAAACTTAATCATATTTCTATTTTTTGGGTTAAATTCAGAGACATGTGACCCTTCCTTTCACTTTAACACTTAGAGGTTATTGCCAAGTTATTATTTAGCCTAATTTCAATATTGTTGTGTCTCAGGGAATAAGGAACCTTAGGAAAGGGAGAGAGATGGGGGAACGGCCAGTTGGTGGAGCAGTCAAAACATATACAACATTTATTGATTAAGTATGCCATCTTATATGGGCACAATTCATGTCAACCCAAAACAATTACAATAGTAACATCAAAGATCACTGATTACAATCACCATAATAGACATAATAATAATATAAAAGTTTAAAATACTGCAACAATTGCCAAAATGTGACACAAAGATAAAAAGTGAATTCATACTGTTAGAAAAATAGTGCCAATAGACTTGTTCAACACAGCATTGTGAAAAATAAAAAATGCAATATCCACAAAGTAAAATAAAGCAAAGTGCAATAAAACAAGGTGTGCCTGTACAGAAAACTCAGAAGCCTTTCAAGAAAGAATACACACATACACACACACCTCTCCCTAAATAAATTTCCTGTTGTATGAAATGTATGGATCTTAATTAACACCACACTAAAATTAATTAAGCAAACTAGAAGTCAAAATAAATATTAAACTATTTTTGAAATATGTTAGAAAGTAATTACAACACTGCATTAAAAACTTATAAGCTGAAATTAAACTCTATTCAATGGAAAATTCAAAGCAAATCCAATAAATCAGAAAAATAAAAGTTGAGTCAGCCTCAGCATGCTTAGTTACTCAGAACTTAACCAACTGCACAGCTGCAATTTTCATGCAATTGACTTACTTAAGCACATTATTTCCTTAGGTGCCTGTAGTTCTAAACATGGATGTGGGACCTATCCTAGAAACCCTATTACTAGCTCCCCATGTGAGTTTCTCTTGCTCATATGTGAAATATAATTACAAGTATTATCTGGACTATAATTTGTGCATACTGCAAAAAACCCTTCGACTTTACTGCAATCTTTTTTTTTCCATAATAGATAACATGAATATGCATAACAATGATTGACAGAAAGATGCATTTTGAAAAAGTGCCTGGCAATGTTTTAATTAGGTAAATAATACAGTTATACAGAGTAGATTTAGGAGAATACTCCTCATAGAGCAGCAAGCTTTCCTACAAATTTCCAAAAAGACAACCAAGAATAAATACTGCCTATCCTCCACCCCTAAAAATATCAATCTGTTAATACTTGTGTTTCTGAAAATCCACCACAGTCTGTGTTTTTATTTATTTATTTATTTATTTATTTTTGAGACAGAGTCTCACTCTGTCTCCCAGGCTGGAGTGCAGCCGTGCGATCTCCGCTCACTGCAAGCTCTGTCTCCCCGGTTCACGCCGTTCTCCTGCCTCAGCCTCCCAAGTAGCTGGGCCTACAGGTGCCCGCCACAATGCCTGTCTAATTTTTTGTATTTTTTTTTAGTAGAGACGGGGTTTCACCGTGGATGGTCTTGATCTAGCCAGGATGGTCTCGATCTCCTGACCTCGTGATCCGCCCGCCTCAGCCTCCCAAAGTGCTGGGATTACAGGCGTGAGCCACCGTGCCTGGCCTGTGTTTTTAATTCCTTAGACTTGTAGATACTACTTTGAGAAGTATTTTCCCCTTGCCTTCACATATTTTCCAGTTTATTGATCTTCAAAATTTCAGTAGAAAGACTGATAGAAGACATAATAGTGACTTGTTGAGGATGCTTGCCAGAACTGGGTACCTAAGGCCCTACTAAAAGTCATATGTCTTCTCTCATTGTTTTTTTCATACTCGAAATCTGACCTTTCAATAGTTTTTGAATTCTTCATGTCTCAAATCATTTGTCATGGTCTAAACATGCCAGTTTGCTCTCTCTTTTTCTGTAGCTATAAAACCAAGTCAGTATCTTCATTCATTTCCTTTCCCTTAGGTACTCTTTACACCTTTCAAATGAGTTAAGCTTATTTTTTGACACTTCTACCTATTTATATAATTGGTCCCAACATTCTACCAATCTTATAGGGAAAGCACTTTGCGGGATGGTCCCCGACATCCTTTATCTTTTCTACAATACATATTTTGGCAAAACTTTAAAACTTATAGTTGTAAAATGGTCCGACTCTTGTCCATGTTTCTGATATTCTAAAGTCTAAATGTAGTGCTCCATTCAGATCTAGAATTTGGAATTATTCTCATCCTCTACAGGGTAAGCATATATTTAAAGAAAATATATTCTAGGCAGAATCTCTTTTTCTCTCCATTTTTTTCTCTTTAACACCTGATCTTGTAAAATTTATTATTTTTTTCTAATCAACGCAATAGATTGATACATCACCTATATAGTACAGATATCTATTGCTCTTTATTTCCTGATGAACTGCATCAGGTCCACTTATGATTAAACTCAAACTTTGGTCCTCATAATTTATTACCAGAGAAAGTTTATTTAAATGACAGACTTTTAGTATTGGCTGAAGATGAAAATACAGAGGAAAAGAGTATGTCACACTCACCAAGCCCAATGTCTGCATATCAAAACAGTAAGTATTTTGGACACAGTTGAGTTATATTCATGAACATGAATCTTTTGCCCACCATTGTCTTGTTCTGACTCTTGTTCATCATTAATTGTAAGAACCAGGCTTTTACACAGTAACTGTCCACAACAAATATGGCTACTGTAAAGTTGGAGGTTCTAAAAACACTTCTCCCAAATCTTGGTGCACTAGATATATTCTGCTGCAAAATCAATCTGTAGAGAGATAGTAAAAGTCAACATTGACTCACAGATTATATATAGAATCTCAAGTCCCATGAGAGTGATAATGTTTGCTGAGAGTTTTTGAAGAAAGTTTCAATCCATTTATCTCTCTAGATATCTGTATTTTAATTTTGGTTTCAACCAGGCCAAGAAATGGTAGAAAATAAAATTTATTGCTGAACAACCTTTTTCTGAGGAAACTCATCCTGTCCTCCTAACTTTTTCCTTAATCTTATCCTCCTATTCTATTTGTGTTTTCTCTGGATCTAAACATATTTAAGTATTTTTTTAATTTCATTTCAAATTATATACAATGCTAAATCACCTCAAATATTTGTGGAAAATGTGAGGAATATATAAATTTAATTAAATTTTAAAAATTATTTTTTTGTTTTTATGCTTCCCAGCATCTTACACACCATTAAATAAGAAACTCTGTAGCAAACCATGATGTCAGGATAGCTCTGACATTTACCAATTAGTAACTTACCATCTGAGATTAAGTTTCAGCATTTATAATTTGGTGAAATTAACCTCATTGTGGCTATTGAATGGCATAACTAATACCAAGTGCTAGCTCATTATATTTTACACATTAGATATTAATCATCATTTGTCTTATTTTCCCCACTAAACTCCATCTTTAATGTCTTTAACTTTCCTTCTCTGAGAACCAATCTACTATTTGGTAGGGGCAGGAATATCTGTAAAATCTAGTCCTTGAAGCTCTGAGCCCCTCTCATCACTCATGTTAAATATTTTCTGGTCTTTTCACTAAACTCTATAAACAACTCCTAACCATTAACACTGCTCATTCTTCCATCCTGCTACTTCCACTACTAAATGTAATAAGTCAAAAATTAATTGGGAATCGCTAAGGATTTGCCCTGAATTTATCTATTTCTCAAGCATAAGATTAGCTTGGTGCTAAAATCAATACAAGCAGAACTATACTGCTATTGATGAAATGCCGAAAGGTATTTTATTACCCTGAACATTTCACTTATTTGACAAGGTAATCCTTTGAGCCTTGGATGTGGTTGGACAGAAAAAATACTGAACTCATCAGGATACATCCCTATTTATTTACTCTATCTGTTGAGGACCCAATAATGATGGCATAAATATTAATGATCAATTATGATAGTAATTTTTAAAATATGTCTATTTTATATGGCTTCATGTTGTTTAGGGATTTTCACATTGTGAAAACACAAAAAAATTGTATATAATGTATTTATGATCCTAATAATATTAATAAAAGTGCATATGTATGTACCATTCATCTTCAGAACTGAAACATAATAAATACCTTTGTGATGCCCCGTATGTCACTTCTCAATTAGACTGCTGTTCCTCCCTGAGGAGTTAATCACAAACTATTTTAAATTTTCAAGTATTTATTTTCTTTACTTTCTTAATAATTACATGCTACATGCATGTCTCTCTAAATAATACACTATTTAGTTTTGTATATTTTATTATTATATAAGTGGATCCATCCTGTCTATTCTTTTGTGACTTATTTTTTTACCCCCAAATACTATCTTCGAAATTAATCTATAATTTTGTATTCATTTTATAGGATGTATATATCCCATTGCATGAATATATTCACCATTCTATGCTTCTCTTTAGATATTTGGTTGTTTGTTTTCTTTTACTTATCATTGTATAAATATTGTGGTGTGTATATATATATATATATATATATATATATATATATATACACCTTTTTAGATACAAATCTAATGTCAGTAATATGGCACTATGTATGAGGCACATATGTCATCTCTGGTTATGGTTTGTTTTGGCACTTCCTTTAAATATATATTTTTATATTATATATAAAAATATATATTTATGTAATATACATTATAAATATATAATATATAACATAATATATGATATATTATATATTTATATAATATATAATATAATATATTATATATTTATATAATATATAATATAATATATCATATATTATATATTTATATAATATAAATATTATATAATTATATAATTATATAATATAAAATTATATAATTATATAATTATATAATTATATAATATAAAATTATATAATTATATAATTATATAATTATATAATATAAATATTATATAATTATATATTATATATTATATATATTATATATAATATATAATATATATAATATACATTATCTATATAATTATATTATATTATAATATAAATATATAATATAAATATATATTTACATTATATTATATTTACATATATATTTATAATTATATATTATATGTTATATTATATATTAATATATTTTATATTATATTTATATATTTATATATAAATCTATTTATTTATTTTTATTTATTTATTTATTATATATTTATATTATATCTTTATATATTATAATATAAATATATAATATATAAATATAATATATATTATATTTATATATATTTTATATATTTATATTATAATATATATTTATATTATAATATATATTTGTATATTTATATTATATTACATATTATATATATATAGAGAGAGAGAGTCTCATTCTGTCACTTAAGCTGGAGAGTCGTGGCACAATTATGGCTCAATGAAGCCTTGCAACCTTGACCTCCTGGGCTCAAGTGATTCTCGCACATCAGCCTGCTGAGTAGCTAGGACTACAGGCATACAACACCAAGCCTGGCTCATTTTTGTATTTTTTGTAGAGATGGGATTTTGCCACGTTGCCCAGGCTGGTCTTAAACTCCTAGCTCGAACGATCTTCTTGCCTTGGCCTCCCAAAGTGCTGAAATTACAGACATGAACCACTGTGCCTGGTCAAAAATAGAATTTTTTAATGCTAAGTTTATTTGGCTTGTTTTTCAAACTTTAGTTCTTCTATATAATTTTGAAAGATATCTTTACCATATTAAAATAAGCTATTGGAATTTTATTAGAATCAGACTAAAGATCTGGAGAAGCAAGATGGCTGACCCTTTAGCAGTCATTCCCCATGCAGGAACACCAAATCGAACAATTATCCACACAAGAAATCACACTCATAAGAACCAAACATCAGGTTAGTGATCACAACACCTGATTTAAATGTCATATTGCTGAGAGAGGCACTGAAGAGGGCAGGAAAGGCAGTCTTGAATTGCCAATTCCACCTCTACCTCAACCCCCTGCAGCAGCCACGTGGTGGGAAGAGAAAATCTGTTCACTTGAGAAAGGGAGAGTGCAGTCATTGTGCACTTTGCATTGAAACTCACCACTGCCCTGTCACAACAGAAAGCAAAACCAGGCAGAACTCAGCCAACACCCATGCACAGAGGGAGGATTTAGACTCACCCTAGTCGGAGGAAAATTAACCGTCAGCAATCAGAACCTGAGTTCCTACAAGTCTCACCACCATCAGTTAAAGGGCTCTGGAGTTCTGAATAAACTTGAAGGACTGTCTAGGCCATAAGCACTGCAATTCTGGGGCAAGTCCTGGTGCTGTGCTGGGTTTGGAGCCAGTGGACTTGCAGTGCAAACCACCTAGTGAGACACCAGCCAGGGCAGCCAAGGGAGTATTCACATCATCCCTCTCCCAACCTGAGGCAGCAGAGCTCACAGCTCTGAAAGAGATTCCTTCCTTCTGCTTGAGAAGAGGAGAGGAGAGAATAAAGAGGACTTTGTCTTGCAGCTTGGATACCAGCTGAATCACAATACAGTAGAGCACCAGGCAGAGTACTGAGGCACTCATTCCAGGCCCTAGTTCCCATGAGACATTTCTTGATAGACTGTGGGCCAGAAGGAAACACACTTTCTTGAAGGGAAGGACTTGTTTCTGGCAGTATCTATCATCTGCTGACTGAAGAGTCTTTAGGCTTTGAATAAACGTCAATAGCAGCCAGGCAATACTCACCGCAGGCTTTGGGTGAAACCCAGTGGTGTGCTGGCTTAAGGTGTGACACAGCACATTCCTAGATGTGGTGGCCAAGGGGAGACGCCCCTTCTGCTGGGGGAAAGGAGAGAAAAGGATTAAAGGGGACTTTGTCTTGCAGCTTGGGTACCAGCTTGGCCACAGCAGTGTAGAGTAACAAGGAGTTTCCTGGGGTCCCTGATTCTAGGCCTTCACTCCTGCACCACATTGCTTGACCTGCCCTAGGCCAGAGGGAAGCCCACTGCTCTGAAGGAAAAGACACAAGCCTGGCAGCATTCACCACAAACTGACTGAAGAACCCTTGGACCTTGAGTAAACATCGGTGGTAACCAATTAGTACTCACCATGAGCCTGAGGCAGTAGTGCACATGGGAAGAGACCCCTTCTGCTTGAGGAAAGAAAAGGGAAGAGCAGGAAGGACTTTGTCTTGTGGCTTGGGTGGCAGCTCAGCCACCGTATAATAGAGTACCAAGTAGATACCTCTAGTTCCTGACTCAAGGCCCTGGCTCCCAGATGGCATTTTTGGAACAATCCTGATCTTGGGGGTGAGCTCATCACTCTAAAGGGAAGGAAACAAGTTGGGCTATATTTGCCACCTACTGACTAAAGAGACTTTGGGCTGTAAATGGGCATTGGCAGTAGGCAGGCAGTGGTGGCCATGGGCCTTGGGTAATACCCTTCCAGTACTTGAAAAGCCTTCCCAAGGAGGACAGGTACAAATAAGCCCAGATGGCAAAGAGTACAATAAATACCTAATTATTTGATTCCTAGATATTGATGAACATTCAGAACCATCAAGAACAGAAAGAAAAACATGACCTCACCAAACAAACTAAATAATGTACCAGTGACCAATTCTAGAGAGACTGAGATATGTGATCTTTCAGACAGAACTCACAATAGCTGCTCTGAGGAAGACCAAAGAAATTCAAAATAACACAGTAAAGGAATTCAGAATCCTGTCAGGTAAATTTAATGAAGAGGTTGAAATAATTTTTAAAAGTCAAGCAGAAATTTTGGAGCTAAAAATTCAACTGACATACTGAAGAATGCATTAGAGTCTCAAAACAGCAGAATTTACCAAGCAAAAAGAATTCCTGAGCTTGAAGGCAGGGTATTTGAAAATACAAAGTCAGACACAAAAGTAAAAACAGTAATTATTAAAAAAAAAATGAAGCACACATACAAGATGAGAAAATAGCCTCCAAAAGGCAAATCTAAGAGGTATTCACCTTAGAGAGGAGGGAGAGAGAGAGAGAGAGGGAGATTGAAATAGAAAGTTTATTTAAAGGGATAATAATAAGATAACTTCTCAAACCTAGAGAAAGATATCAATATTAAAGTAAAAAAGATTCTAGAATATGTAGCAGATTTAACCCAAATAAGACTACCTCAAGACATTTAATAATCAAACTCCTAAAGGTCAAGAATAAAGAAAGAACCCTGAAAGCACCAGAAAAAAGAAAGAAATAGTATACAAAGGAGCTTAGGTACACCTGACAGAAGACTTCTCAGTCTTCTGAAGCCAGAAGAGAGTGACATGACGTATTTAAAGTGCTGAAGAAAAAAATATATATATATATACTTTTATCCTAGAATAGTATATCCAGTAAAAATATTCTTCAAACATAAAAGACTTTCCCAATCAAGTAAAAGCTGGGGGATTTCATTAGCATCAGACCTGTCCTACAAGAAATGCTAAAGGAAGTTCTTCGATCTGAAAGGAGAAATGTTAATGAACAAGTATCAGTCATCTGAATGAACAAAATTCATTGATAATAGTAAGTACACAGAAAACCACAGAATATTATAGCACTGCAATTGTGGTATGTAAACTACTCACAACTTCAGTAGAAAGACTGAAAAATGAACCTATAAAAAACAATAACTACAACAACTTTTCACTACATAGACAGTATAAGACATAAAGAGTAACAATAAAAAGTTAAAAAGCAGGAGGGATGAAGTTAAAGTGTAGAGTTTTTATTAGTTTTCTCTGTGTTTGTTTTTGAAATCAGTGTTAAGTTGTCATCAGTTTAAAACAATGGGTTATAAGATGTTATTTGCAAGCCTCATGGTAACCTCAAATCAAAAAAACTACAACAGACACACAAAGAATAAAAGCAAGAAGTTAAAACATGAAATTTTGGAATTTTGGAAACTATAAAAATTAAAACCAGAGAAAATCACCATCACAAAATGGAAGATAGCAAGAAGGAAGGAAGGAAGGAAGGAAGGAAGGAAGGAAGGAAGGAAGGAAGGAAGGAAGGGAAAGAAAGAAAGAAAGAAAGAAAGAAAGAGAAGAAAGAAGGAGAAAACAACAAAATGACAGGAGTAACTCCTTACTTATCAATAATAACACTGACTGTAAATGAACTAAAATAAAGAGATAGAAAAAAGATATTCCACGCAAACGGAAACCAAAATAGTGGAAGTAACTATACTTATATCAGACATAATATATTTCGAGACAAAACCTATAAAAAGAGACAAAATATCATTATATAATAATAGAGGAGTCAACTCAGCAAGCGAATACACAAATTGTTATTATATGTGCACCCAACACTGGAGCACCCAGATATATAAAGCAAATATTATTAGTGCTAAAGAAGGAGATAGACTCCAATACAGTAATAGCTGGAGACTTCAGCATTGGACAGATCTTCCAAACAAAAAAATGAACCAACAAATATCAGACTTAATCTGCACTGTGGACCAAATTGACCCAATAGGTATTTACAGAACATTTCCTCCAATGGCTACAGAACACATATTCATCTCTTCAGCACATAGATTATTCTCAAGGATAGATCATATGTTAGGTCACAAAACAAGTCTCAAAAAATTCAAAAACATTTAAATCCTATCAATTATCTTCTTTGACCAACCAACATGGAATAAAACTAGAAATCAATAAAAAGAGGAATTTTGGAAACTATACAAACACATGGAAAATAAGCAGTATGCTCCTGCATGACCAGTGGGTCAATGAAGAAATTAAAAAGAAAACTGAAAATTTTCTTAAAATAAATGATAATGGAAACACAACATACCAAAACCTGTGAGATACAAGGAAAGCAAGTACTGTGATGTAAGTTTATAGTAATAAGCACGTACAGCAAAAAAATAGAAAAACTTTAAATAAACAACCTAATAATGCATTTTAAAGAATTTGATAAATACAAGCAAACCAAACCAAAAATTAGTAGAAGGAAAGAAATAGTAAAGATAACAGCAGAAATAAATGAAATTCAAATGAAAAACAGAATGGAATGAAAATTGGTGTTTTGAAAAGATAAACAAAATTGACAAACCTTGAGCCAGAATACCTACAAAAAGAGAGAAGAAATACACAAATAAAATCAGAGATGAAAAATGAGACATTACAATTGATACCGCAGAAAATCAAAGGATCATTAGAGACTATCATGGGCAACTATATGCCAATAAATGGGAAAATTTAGAAGAAATGGATAAATTCCTAAACATATACAGCCTACAAAGAATGAAACACTAAGAAATTAAAAACCTGAAGAGACAAATAAGAAGTAATGAGGTTGAAACCATAATAAAAAGCCTGCCAGCAAAGAAAAGCCTAGCAACCAATGGCTTTACAGCTGAATTTTAATGAGCATTTAGGAAACTAATACCAATCCCACTCCAACTATTCCAAAAATTAGAGGAGGAGGCAATACTTCCAAACTCGTTCAATGAGTTCAGCATTACCCTGATACCAAAACTAGACAGACATATCAAAAAGAAAACTACCCGCCAATATCCCTGATGAATAGTGATGCAAAAATCTTCAACAAAATACTATCAAACCAAATTCAACAACATATTAAAAAGATCATTCATCATGACTAAGTAGGATTTATCTCAGTGATGCATGTATGGTTTAGCATATGCAAATAAATCAATGTGATACTTCATATCAACAGAATAAAGAGAAAAAAAACCACATGATCCTTTTCAATTGATGCTGAAAAATCACTTGATGAAATTCAATATTCCTTCATGATAAAAGCCCTCAAAAAATTGGGGTTAGAAGGAACATACTTCAACACAAGAAAAGCCGTGTACAACAGACACACAGCTAGTGTTGTACTGAATGGGAAAAAATTGAAAGTCTTTCCTCTGTTCCGGGAAAAGATAAGAATTTCCACTTTCACCACCATGATTCAATATATTCCTGGAAGTCTTAGCTTGGGCAATCAGAAAAGAGAAAGAAATAAAGAGCATCCAAATTGGAAAGAAGGAATTCAAATTATCCTTGGTTGCCAATAATATGATCTTATATTTGGAAAAACCTGAAGACTCCACCAAAAGCCATTGTAACTGATAAACAGATTCAATAAAGTTACAGAATACAAAATCAACATTCAAAAATCAGTAGCATTTATACATGCCAAGAGGGAAGTATCTGAAAAAGAAATCAAGAAAATAATCTCATTTACAATGGCTAAAAATAAAATAAAATACCTAGGAATAAACTTAACCAAAGAAGCAAAAGATCTCTACAATGAGAACCATAAACTATTGATGCAAAAAATTGAGGACATGAAAAAAATGAAAAGGTATTCTGTGTTTATGAATTAGAAGAAACAATATTGTCAAAATGTCCATACTACCCAAAGCAATCTACAGATTCAATGCATCCCTATAAAATACCAATGATGTTCTTCAAAGAAATAGAAAAAATCCTAAAATTTCTAAGGAACAAAAAAGAAACCAGAATAGTCAAAGCCATCCTGAGCAAAAAGAAAAAAAACAGAGGAATAACATTACCTGACTTCAAATTATACTACAGATACTACAGAGCTATAGTAACCAAAACAGTATGGTACTGGCAAAACAAAAACAAAAATCAAACAAACCACCCCACCCCCCAACAAAAAAAAAACCCACATAGACCAATGGAAAAGAATAGAGAAGCCAGATAGAAATTCATACATCTATAGGGAACTCATTTTTAATACAGATGCCAAGAATATACACTGGGGAAAGGACAATCTCTTCAATAGATGGTGCTAGGAAAACTGGATTTCCTTATGCAGAAGAATGAAACTAGATCCCTATCTCTCACCGTATACAAAAATCAAATCAAAATGGATTAAAGACTTAAATATAAGACCCTAAACTCTGAAACTATTACAATAAAACATTGAGGAAACTCCAGAACATTTGTCTGGACAAACATATTTTGAGTGATAACCCACAAGCACACTCAACCAAGGCAAAAATTGACAAATGGGATCACATCAAGTTAAAAAGCTTCTGCACAGCAAAGGAAACAATAAACAAAATGAAGAGACAACCCACAGAAAGAGAGAAAATATTTTCAAACTATCCATCTGACCAAAGATTGATAACCAGAATATATAAAGAGCTCAAACAACTCTATAGGAAAATATCTAGCATTTCAATAAAAAAATGGGCAAATGATTTGAATAGACATTTCTCGAAGGAAGATATACAAATAATAAGCAGGCATATGAAAAGGTGCTCAACATCATTGTTCATCAGAGAAATGCAAATCAAAACCACAATGAAACATCATCTCACCCCAGTTAAAATGGCTTATATCCAGAAGACAGGCAATAACAAATGCTGGCGAGGATATGGGGAAAAGGGAACACTTGTACACTGAGAATGTAAATTAATATAACCCCTATAGAGAACAGTTTGGAAGTTCCTCACAAAACTAAAAATATAGCTACCATATGATCCTGCAATCCTGCAGCTGGGTATATACCCAAAAGAAAAGAAATCAGTATATGGGAGAGATATCCACTCTCTCATATTTCTCGCAGCACTGTTCACAATAGCTAAACTTTGGAAGCAACCTAAGCGTCCATCAATAGATGAATGGATAAAGAAAACATGGTACTTATACACAATTGAGCAGTTTTCTGCTATAAAAAACAATGAGATCCTGTCATTTGCAACAACGTGGATGGAACTGGAAGTAATTATGTTAAGTGAAATAAGCCAGGCACAGAAAGACAAATTTCACATGTTCTCACACATGTGTTGGAGCTAAAAATTGAACCCTTGGAGATAGAGAATAGAATGATGGTTATCAGAGTCTGGAAAGGGTAGTAGGGGACAAAGGGAAGTGGGGATGGTTAATGACCACAAAAATGTAGTTAGATAGAATGAATAGGATCCAGTATTTGATAGCACAACAGGGTGATTACAGTCAACAATATTTTAATGTACATTAGTTGTTAGTTATTCTTCCTATGAATGTAAGCTGTTTTGTCACATTCCTGGCAGCTTTGATAATTTTCTTTACTGTTCTGCAGGTTCATGTGTGTAGGCATAGACTTTTGTTTATTTATCTTGCTTTGGAAATTTTAAGATTCATTTATTCTACGTTGGGATTTTCATTTCTTTTATTTCTGAAAATGTCTAATTGCTTGATGCCTGAAGTTCCAGACCAGACTGGGCCAGGATAACAAGACCTTGGCTCTCCAAAAAAAAAAAAAAATTAGCTAGACATGATGGTGTGCCTGTAGTCCCAGCTACTCCAAGGCTGAAGCAGGAGAATCATTTGAACCTTGAAGTTACAGATTGCAGTGAACTATGATCATGCCACTGCACTCCAGCCTGGGTGAAACAAGACCTTGTCTCAAAAAAAAAAAGAAGCTTCTGTTACTTATTCTTAATCTCTCTAATATTTTTTTGAATTCAATTTGATGAATGCGTGAATGTTAGAACTTTTCAATCTGCATGTTTCCTAACCTGTCTTACATAGTTTTTTAATCTTTATCTTTCTGTTTTGCATTCTGGATATATCTCTCCTGATTTATTTTTATTGCATTAATTTTCCCTTCATTGCATCTGATTTTGGGTTTAGCCTAAACTTTGTGTTTTATATATATGTATTTTTTTTCCAAAAGTTCTATAACGTTCTTTTATTCAGTTCTACTTGATAATTTTGGTTGAGTCTTATCACTTAGTCATAATTTTGATACATTTTTTATTTCTTTAAACATATTTAGCAAGCTTATTTAATACTCTGTGATGACAATTCTGATATCTGCAGTTTTCTCATTCTGTAGTTTGTGATTTTGTTGACCCTTACAGAAGCTTATTTCTTTCCTCATGTGTCTTATGAATTTTTGTTGTTGTTTTTGAGAAATCATGTTCCTTAGAATTTTGTTTTGGGATTACCTTGAGGATAATATTGAGCGTGTTTTCTCTCCAGTGATTTGCATATACTTTTATTTGGATTTGAGGATCCATTTAAAATAAGTTTTCTGGTTTGAGGTTTCAGGACCAATTAATGTTATTCTAGTTCCCAACCCAGGAAAAGTGGTTACGAATTCTCAAGAGAGGTTTTCTGTTTTGTTTTATTTTGTTTTTTGGGTTTTTTTTTTCTGTATTCTCTATCCATCCAAAGGCAAAGATCCCTTAATATTTCCCAACTAAATGATAGGTTTTCTCACTTCAACCAAAGAGTGTGTCATTCTGTAAAGATTCTGGCTTAATTCTGAATCTCTAATTCACCTGTTCACAATACAAGTTCTAACGTTCGTCACCCACATACGGCCCTTGAAACTGAAACTCTGGGGACAAAAAGAGTCAATTGACAAGGCCCTGAGGGCAACACCTATCTAAAGTGCTTGGCAACTTCTCTAGATTTAAGCTTCTGAGAATTTCCTTAATATCTTGCTATTGGAAGGCTAATTTTAAATATTTTCTAATATTTTAGGTGGTTTTATACCAGGAAGCTGTTGGGGAATATCACACTGTCATTTGTGCCATAGTAGAATTATTTAATTGACCAACTGAAAGATATAGTCCTTAGAAAGAGAGACATGAAGTCAAATCAAAGCTTGGGTAGTGTATCTCCTAAAACTGAGGTCACACCACAGCAGGTACAGAGGATATCTTTTTATGTGCCATGTTTCTGAGCTATAGTCCCAATTTCAGTACTGAGTCTTCTGCACTAATAATGAACAGTGAATATCATTGGGTTCCACTCCATTTATCTATTTTCTTACATTACCAATGATTATATCTGGCACCAGGTGCAAAGAAAGGAGGTTTAGTAGTTTATCTTGGTTAGTCTAGTATATGAGCAAATCATATTAAGCAAACATAACAAACACACTCTTGAAAGAGAAACATATTCATTTGAGGTGAATTGAGAAAGAAGGAAGCAAATCAAATAGTTTGACTCCAGAGCTCATGCTTGTTGCACTGCACCATTTCTCCAAAATTACAACTTCAGAAATGGAGCTTGATTCCTAATTGGTGCATTCATAGGAATATGAACACCTGTTCATTAAAAGCAAAGATATGTATTTTAACTGACACAATTAGATTAGTTAGTAAAGCTAACTCCAAAAGTAACTCTAACATGTAATAATTTTTAAGGTTAGCATCTGAGAGTAAACACATGCTCATCTCTAATATCTACTCTAAAAAGTATCATATAATCTAAAACATATTTAGTATCTACACCTAAACATATTTACAATGCTTTCCTCTTGAGAAAGAAAAACGACAATCTTTATGTTTCAGAAATTCTTGATACAATGAACAACAAAATTTTAAGCTGAAATCTGGAAGAAGGATCTGTGAGTCCTTCTGATTATTTTAGACATTGATCCAAAACTACTTAAAAGTTTTACCCACCCTTTCTTTATACTTAGAGTTTTGTAATTTATTTCAATTGGCAACTAAAAAGTCCTGTAAAATCCAGTGCTTCCCAATGAAACAGACAAGGATAGTAAATGACTATGCTGTAAATACAAAGATGATGGGGAACGTGTTTAGTCTATATCACCCAGATAGCAGTTTTCAAAGTACTGAACTAGTCACAATAATTTCAATTTAGAGGAAGCCAGATTCTGGAATAACATAAAAATCATCCATTAAAAGTTTTTCTATTTCCAAATGAAATCTATTTTCTCAAGAAATAATGAACTTCCCTTTCCTAGAAGTATTCACAAAGACACTGATTGTATCTCTGAGATGCTGTACCAGGTGATCTAGGGCCATGATTCTCGTTTGTCTTTCGTAGAATCCCACCAAGTCTGCCTCCTTCCTGGTCATAGCTCCTCTTGTTGATGTTTACAGGTCTGAATGCTTCGTTTTCATTTACAGAGTCTCTGCCCTAAAAATGAATTTGTTCCAACAAGTATTTTGAGCAAAAATATAGCTTTTAACCATTCAGACATGGCCTCTGGGACTCAGTGGATCAAGCAGGGGATGACAGATGCAATTGGTTTGTAGAAATTTTCAAGTCTTAAGAGAATGATCTCCTAGGAAAAGCAACACGTCTGCTGCCGCTTTTAAAGTGACAGAGCAATAGATCTTGGGCTGCCTCGGGTACCGCCTGAAGAATCAATAAACTCTCTTTTAAGGGCCACTGATGTCTCATGAAAGGCATCCAAAAACATTCTATTTAGAATATCCATCTTATTTCTTTCTGAACAATGTAACTCCCCTACGGCTGACAAATTGAGAAAAGCTTGATTTGTCTGTTTTAAAGGATATCTATTTTAATAGAGGACATAGAGAAGTAATTTGGAAATTCTCTTTTTAGAAGAAAGTCTTCAACTATGTTTATATAGAAAGCATGTTTATTAGGGAAACTTTTCTTTAATAAAAATAATTTTAAATTATCCAAACTCTCAGTAACATCTAAAATGTTGGTATAGTATATGAAAAGCTTTAATCAGAAATTTTATTTTTGCTATTATTAATTCAAAAATATAAAATGTATAACTATTATTCCTTTACAATAAAACATTAGAGCACATAATTGCTAAGCAATCAAATGTTTGTTGATTATCACCCAATTCATGAATATATACACTGAAATCCCCAATTTATAAAGCTGCCTGCCTCAGTTTCTCATTAGAAAGTGGGAAAAATCATACATCTTTCATAAAGTTACTGCTAAAATTAAATTATTAAAATGATAGCAAATATAAATTCTTGATACCTTGTATGTTATTAATGCCATTTTCTTGCTTGCTGAAATAAGTATACTATTTATGACTTTTAGAATTTCTGTATATTTTGTCATATATTCTTTGAGTATAACCATAAAATATCAAGTCAAAATTTCCTATAAATTATGTTAATCTAAAAGTTTCACAACCCATATTCTTGACAGTATTTTGAAATTGCTTTACAAATTTATTTGAGTTGTCTACAGAGAATTTGAAACTGCCTTGTCATGATGAGGTTTGTGATACTGGTAGTTAAGAATAAGTAATTTTTTATTTAAAATGTAAATTTATATACAGTAAAAGGCAAAAGAAACATAGAGAAAATAAACAAGTAAATATGAAAGGAAATAACAATATGATGCATTGAGAGATGGGGGGCAGGGGTACCACGCTGTAGAAATCTAGACTTCATATATTAATGCTTAGAAAGCCATGTATAGGTTTTGTTTTGTAGAGCAGAGGGTAAAATTGTAATTTAAAAAACACAGGACACATGAACGTGTGTAAATATGATGTGTCCTTTAAGCATCTCTAACTTTAAAAAAAAAGCAAGCCATGTCAATACATCCCTGTTGTGTAAAGCATAAGTTTCTTATGTTCTCATAGGTTTTTTTCTCTATCTGGTATAGTGTCAACAGGTTTGCCTACTTCTTTTGTTGTTTTAAAAATGGTGTTAATGGGGAAAATATTGAATTAAAATACCTTGAAACAATGACTTGCCTTCTAGTACCCACAGCCCTCAATATGCAGAAGATTCACAAATTTCTTTTATTAGTTTCAGAAATCATTTCAATTTGGTCTCTTCTTTAGTATAATTTTACTATATAGTTTTAAGTAAATCTACCATTTTACCAAATATTTTTAAATGCTCACAAATAGTTCAGGCATAGAGAAAGTAAATAACCTTATCTTAATACACTTTTTTCAATGTCTTGGGTTTCTAACTGTATGTTCTGGCTGTGTTTTATGAGTCAACTTTCATTTAGAACTTGGCATAGCTATGTTACTGAAAGTTCTTTAATAATAAGAATATTCTTAGTTATAAGAATTATATTACACTACATATTATATTTTATATTACATTATATTCTTAGTAATAAGAATATAAATACTAACAGAAGATACCACTATGGAACTACTATAATGGCCAAAATCCAAAACACTGACAACACTAAATGCTGGCAAGGATATGGAGCAACAGGAATTCTCATTCAATGCTGGGAATGCAAAATGGTACAGCCATTTTGGAAGAAAATGTGGAAGTTTCTTACAAAACTAAACATATTCTTACTACACAACCCAGAAATCTTACTTTCTGGTATTTATTCAAAGGTGTTGAAAACTTATTTTCATGTAAAAATGTGGTGTTTATAGAAACTTTATTCATAATTGCCAAAACTTAGAAATAACCAAGATGCCCTTTTGTAGGTAAATGGATAAATAAATGGTGGTATATCCAGACAATGTAATATTATTCAGTGCTAAAAATACACGAGCTATCAAGCCATGGAGGAATCTTAAGTGCCCATTACTAAATGAAAGAAGCCAATCTGAAAAGCCAACATACAGTATGATTCCAATTATATGACATTTCTGAAGAAGCAAAACTTGAGAGAGAAGAAAGATCAGTGGTTGTCACAGCTTGAAAAAATAAAGGAATAAATAGGCCATGCCTAGAAGATTTTTAGGG
Organism: Homo sapiens; assembly: GCF_000001405.40. Taxonomy (NCBI): domain Eukaryota; kingdom Metazoa; phylum Chordata; class Mammalia; order Primates; family Hominidae; genus Homo; species Homo sapiens. The sequence goes on from NC_000006.12 coordinate 103,832,028, forward strand.
TAGTGAAACTATTTTGTATGTTACTATAATGGTAGACACATGTCATTACACATTTATCAAAACCCATAAATCCTAATGTAATCAATGAATTGGGTGATGATGATGTGGCAATGTAAGTTCATCTATTGTAATACATGTACAACATTGGTGGGGGATGTTGATACTGGGAGAGCCTGGTGGGAGTGGAGGGAAGGCGTGTATGAGAACTTTCTGTACAAGTTTGTGGTGAATCTAAATCTACTCTAAATCTATTTTAAAAGTAAATAACAGATGGCAATAAACGCATTTTGGCAAGAAAATCAGTGATGCTGATAATGTTGGTAAAGCTAATGCAGCAATTTTTAAATATATATGCAGTCCCCAAAAGTTATTATATCCTTCTGGAAAACTGCCTTATTTCAGATTAAATGCAACTCTTGCTTGATTCTTCTCTCCATCTTTAGAAAACTTAATTTAAAAAAAAAGCCTTTATAGCCCCCAAGAACTATGACCATTTCCTCCCACTGTTTCCTGTCCTGCTGTAGTCAAAGCCATGCCTTATGCATTTTAAATGAAGCTATTATACTAACCTGGAAAGTGCAAGATGGATTTATGATGAATATACAAGATTTCTAATTACATATAATGAAGGGTGGAATGGTATTTTATTAAATTTCCTATTTACTTGATGATATAAAGAAAAAGAGCTGCTTTTTGTATAGCCCAGACAATCCTAAGCAAAAAGAACAAAGCTGGTGGCATCATGCTACCTGACTTCAAACTACACTACAAAGCTACAGTAACCAAAACAGCATGGTACTGGTACCAAAACAGATATATAGACCAGTGGAACAGAACAGATGCCTCAGAAATAACACCATGCATTTACAATCATCTGCTCTTTGACAGACCTGACAAAAACAAGCAATGGGGAAAGGATTCCCTATTTAATAAATGGTGCTGGGAAAACTGGCTAGACATATGCAGAAAACTGAAACCAGACCCCTTCCTTACACTGTATACAAAAATTAACTCAAGATGGATTAAAGACTTAAACATGGGGCTAGGCACAGTGGCTCACGCCTGTAATCCCAGTACTTTGGGAGGATGAGGTGGGTGGATCACGAGGTCAGGAGATCAAAACCATCCTGGCTAACACAGTGAAACCCTGTCTCTACTAAAAATACAAAAAATTAGCCAGGCATGGTGGCGGGCACCTGTAGTCCCAGCTACTTGGGAGGTTGAGGCAGGAGAATGGCGTGAACCTGGGAGGTAGAGCTTGCAGTGAGCCGAGATCGTGCCACTCCACTCCAGCCTGGGCGACAGAGCAAGACTCCATCTCAAAAAAAAAAAACAAAAAAAAACCACAAAGACTTAAACATAAAATCGAAAACCATAAAAACCCTAGAAGAAAACCTAGGCAATATCATTCAGGACATAGGCATTGGCAATGACTTCATGACTAAAACATCAAAAGCAATTGCAAGAAAAGCAATAATTGACAAATGAGATCTAATTAAACTAACAAGCTTCTGCATAGCAAAAGAAACTATCATCACAGTGAACAGACAACCTACAGAAGAATGGGAGAAATTTTTGCAATCTTTCCATTTTTACAGTGTAAAATCTTTCCACTTTTACACTGTTGGTGGGAGTGTAAATTAGTTCAACCATTGTAGAAGACAGTGTGGCAATTCCTCAAGGATCTAGAACAAGAAATATCAATTGTCCCAACAATCTCATTACTTGGTACATTCCCAAAGGATTATAATTCATTCTACTATAAAGACACATGCACACATATGTTTATTGCAGCAGTATTCACAATAGCAAAGAACAGGAACCAACCCAAATGCCCATCAATGATAGACTGGATAAAGAAAACGTAGCACATATACACCATGGGATACTATGCAGGCATAAAAATGAGTGAGTTCATGTCCTTTACAGGGACATGGGTGAAGCTGAAAACCATCATTCTCAGCAAACTAGCACAGGAACAGAAAACCAAACACTGCATGTTCTCAATAATCAGTGGGAGATGCACAATGAGAAAACATGGACACAGGGAGGGGAACATCACACACCAGGGACTGCCAGGGGGTGGGGAGCAAGGGAAGGGAGAGCATTAGGACAAATATCTAATGCATGCGGGGCTTAAAACCTATATGATGGTTTGATGAGTGCAGCAAACCACCATGGCACATGTATACCCATGTAACAAACCGGCACATTTTGCACATGTATCCCAGAACTTAAAGTATAATAAATAAAAAAGGGGCTGCTTTAAAAATTGATAAATAAACATTGTATACATGTATCATGTACATGTTGTTTTGAAATATATATAAATTGTTGAATGGCTAAATTGAGATAATTCATATGTGCATTTTCTCATATTGTTGTCATTTTTTGTGATAAGAAAATCTAATATCTGCTTTTCCAGTAATTTCAAGAATAAAACACATTGTTACTAACTACAGTCAACACATCATACAGCACATCTCTTTAGCTTACTCCTCTTATCTAATATTTTAGGTTCTTTGACCATCATCTCCCCAGTCCCTCCTTTCTCTACTTCCTAGCCCCTGGTAATCACCATTCATTTCTCTATGAGTTCAACTTTTTTAGATTCCACATATGAGTGAAAACATGTGGTATTTGTCTTACAGTGTCTGACTTACCTCACTTAACATAATGTCCTCTAGGATAATCTATGTTGTTTCAAGTGGCAGGAATTCCTTCCTTTTTTAAGGCTGAATAGTTGTGTATATGTACCATATTTTCTTTATCCATCTATACATCGATTGATACTTAGGTTAATTCCGTATCTTGGCTATTGTGAATAATGTTGCAATAAGTATAGAAGTGCAGATATATACTGAATTAATGTCCTTTGGCTATATATCTAGTAGTGGGGTTGCTGGATCATTTGAACTCTCTATTTTCAATTTTTTGAGGACCCTCCATACTGTTTTCCATAATGGCTGTACTAATTTACACTCCCAGCAGTGTACAGGAGTTCCCTTTCCCCCACATCCTCACCAACACTTATCTTTCATCGTTATGATGTAGTTATTCTAAATAGGTGTGAGGTGATATCTCACTGTGATTTTCATTTGCATTTCTCCAATGATTAGTAATTTTTAGCATTTTTCCCCTACCTGTTGTCCATTTGTATGTCTTCTTTTGAAAAATGTCTGTTCAGATCCTTTGATCATTTTTTAATGGTTTGTTTTCTTAAGATTGAGTTGTTTGAGTTCTTTATGTTGGATATAAACTCCTTAACAGATGCCTGGTTTGCAAATATTTTCTCCCATCCAATAGGTTGTCTCTTCACTCATTTGTTTTCTTTGCTTTGCAGAAGCTTTTTAGTTTGATGTCATCAAATTTGTCTATTTTTTTATTTGTCTATTTTTTAATATTGTTGCTTATGCTTTTAGGATCACATCCAAAAGAAATAATTGCCCAATATCACTGCCATGGAGACTTCCCCTATGTTTTCTTTTAGTAGTTCTATAGCTTTTGGTTGTACATTTAGGTCTTTAATCTACTTTGATTTGTGTTTTCTATATCATGTGACATAAAGGTCTAATTCAACAAAAAGTTTCTAACAATATTCTTATTATTAGAGGCTACCACTTCCCCCCAACACAGACTGATTTGAATAGAGAAATAGTAAAATTAGAGAAGAGGCATACAGAGAGGGAAATGAGAAAACTAAAAAAAAAAAAAATCAATAAAATACATTTTATTTTACCTCTATATTAAATATACTTTAATCATTGATAATTCACATGCACTTTAGATTCCTATAGTGCATGAATATCATAATTTTGAACGTCAGTTATTATACTATAGATGTTCAGAATTATTGGCTAATGCAATAGACAAAATTATAATCAGACCAGGTTTTACTCTAACCTTAGTCTGTTTCTCAAAACCACGGGTTGAAATTGTAAAATATAACCTACTGATGATGACATGAGGCTACCACTGGTAATACTCTAATATTTTTCTTGAAAAAGAGTCAGATTAATTAAGCATAAGAAGAGTTATCTTTTGATACGTAAAAACTCACGAACTTAGAAGAAACATATATGAAAGATTGGGTACTTAAAATTATAAATTGTTTGGTATTATATTGATCTATTCACTATCTAATGGCATAATCAGCTAGGAATAATCATTAGATGCTCACTGAAGAACAATTAGAACCTCATGCCCTGTGTTGTTGTTGCTAAAGGGGTACTATCAAAGTATTGCAGTGATGTCTTTTCTCCATAACATTACTTGATCTGTCCCAACTTTAAGAATATTTTTTAATATTTAGCCAAAAATTTTTCATTTGAAATGTATTAAATTTTAGAATAAATCTGGTGGGGAAATAATTTTTATATATTTTGATTATCCTGTGTGAAACTTTCAATGTATCTATACAAATTTAGTGATAATTGTAATAAATAAGGACCTTAAACCATAGCAATAGAATCTCCCGTAGGATTATAGGAATTGTTTCCCTTAAAATCCTTCATTAAATGAGTCAAACCAAAAAGAGGGTAGAAAATAAAATATGGTAACAATTAATTTTTAAGGTGGTTTTATTAACTGAGGAACAATCACTGTACTGAACCATCTAATACAATTTATGCCTTAAAGTACAATTAGCAAACAAATAATTGGTCATTATACATTTCTTTAATCTGATGTGACTTCTTTCAGTACCTTGGGAATGAGAATTCCAAACATTAATTATACCGTAAAAATAGAACACGCTGTTCCTATTCATTTCTGAAAATATAAAATAGCAACTTAAAAATCACATTTTAATATGTTTGTGCGTGTGCTGTTTTTCATTTCGGTTTTATTGGGAACATAATGATAGAAATATTTTCCCTTAATCTGGGAATTGCTACTCTCTTTAGCCCATCTACGAGTTTATACAAGAGTGCTGTGATATTTTTAGTTCTCTTCCCCTCCTACCACTATTGATGTATAGTGGGGTATGGATCTGGTTCAAACTTGGCTAAACAAAGCTTTTTTCTCTCTCTTTTTTTTAACTTTGGACACTGGAAGCACACACACCAGTAAGTTCCTCTTATTTTGTATTGAGAATTGCAAAAATTGAAACACGCAGGATGTTGACAACAATATTTTTTGGTTGATAGAGTAATACACTTTGTAACCATAAAATATAGCCAACATACAGGCAGGAAAAAGCATAGATGGTTAGCTGGGGTTTGGGTTGAGATGGGGGGCGTGAAAGAGAGAGATTATGAGAAACAAACCTTGTATTGGAAATCCATTGAATCTTGGCTCTCCACATGACTTTATCATTCCTAGTATTAAATGAGACAACTTAGTATCATCCCACGTTTCTCATTTTGCCCAAGGTATTTAGACCTTAATTTCTTGTATCTTTAATAACCAAGAGCTCTAATTAATACTGATGATTTTTGTAGCTTTTTGGATTTTCTTTATAATCATTATCACTTTGAATTTTAAGTGATTTTAAACTTGATGATTTTAAGTTTGATTGCAGCATAATTAACATGAGAATGTTTCTTCTCTTCTCGTTATTTTTCTCATTCTTCCTCTTTGCCACTCAGTAACCCAGTTATTTGTGATAGGAAATAAGAATTATTTAGAGACAGGAAGAAGGTAGGAGATTTGACCAGTGTCATTGGTTAAATCCACCTAATGACAACCTAACAATGGAGACATGTGAGGAGCATACAAAGATACTCTTGGCTGAAGTTTTGGAAAAAAGTTTGAGATTTTGGTAAGCAAGAGGTTGTGAGCTGTTAAAAGATGAGAAAAATTTAGGAGCAAAGGAAGAGATTAGTGAAGTTATGCTGAAAGTTATAAAATGTTTCCCATTTAAAATTAATTATAATTTAATTAATTGAAATAATTTATAGATTTAACTTATATACAAACATATGATTTAACTTATATACAAATGTATAACATCCATAAATGTACATGCCATATAAATCATTGCATGTGACTCGTACTCTCTTATGTCTCTGTAAGCCTTTATGGTGTCCTACGTACTTCCAGCTGTTTTGCCCAATTAAATTTTAAGAACATTTTGTGAAGTACAGTAATACAGTTCATCATTATCACCATTTTAGAAAAATCAGCACCTAAAAATTTAGAAACTCTGAAAGATTACCCAAAGTTCAATTCAGTTTTTCTCACTATGAATTCAGAGTTCTTTCTACCATACTGCATTGACCTTTTTCTAGTGTTCTCATCATACCAGAGACATCTGTGGCAAAAGAAGTTAGATTTTGCTTCAGTGTTTTTATAATTCATTTAAACTTAAGAAAATTCATCTTCTGGACTCAGATAGAATCACAACCATATCTAGTGGCAACACTTTATGTTCAAGCCTGAGGTTATTATAAATAATATTTTTATAGACAGATAAATGTTAAATTGCCCATAATATGTTTTATAAAACATCCTACCTCTGAATATCTCAAGGTGAGTCATCCTTTGAACCCATTGCAGATTCTTTTGACTTGAGAAGGCTCCATAGCCTGCCCCTCCAGTCCGCTACACTGTGCTGTGCTGACGTAACTCTTCTGGAATCTCCAAATTTTATTACACCATTATAATTGAATGATTATTTTTGGTTAAGTTTAGAAATAAAACAGAGAATCTCTCAAGATTATGATAAGCACAAAAAACTATGCAAACATGAAAGAAGGATTGATGTATCAAGGAAATGGGAAGTGATGGATGATATGTCTGGTTTAGGAGTAGTTGCTGAGAGGAAGTGGAGGTGAAGTAAAACTAATTTAAAAAGGAAGGCAAAGTCATACTAAGTAGCATTATGGGTCTTTAACATGAGCATTATAGTAACTCTGATGTGGGCCAAAATTATATGTCAAATCCCAAAGCCTTCAATTAACAGAAGGGAGTGCCCTGCTTGAGAGCACAGGAGAATAATAGAGATGGAGTGTACACTGTCTTCGAGTGCTATCAAATTTTGATTAAGGTATAAATTTTACATCTGATTCAACTGAGGACACATACTTTTACAGTGATTTTTTTAAAAGTATTCAGCTGAGGTTGACGTATAAGATGCCATAACTAGTATAAATTATCATTAATCAAGTACCAGAGAGGAATTACTTATTTCTGCAAGATATGACAGTGAGGTCAGGGTGGTGGACAATCCTGTTGCAAAGGACTACCATGCTTAATAGAGTGGCCAACTGAATCTAATTCTCAGACAACAGGGGAATTTTGTTTTTGTAATTGTTCCATGTTCCAAATTTCAATCTCTCCATTTAACTATTGTTAACATATCCTTTCACATGTGCAGCCAAAGATATGACTTGAATAAAGTTTGAGAAGCAAAGCAGTTGACAGTACAAGCAGGAATCTCAATGATGCAGGACTTTTAACAACAAACGTAAGCAACAAATGGTTTTAAAGCATGTTTAAAGAAAGGTTGATCTAATTGAAAACCCAGAATATTATGCTTATTCACTATAGTGGTTGTTAGTGCTATTTGGTGTTACAAGTTGAATATCCCTATTCCAAAAATCTGATATTCAAAATGTGCCAAAATCTGAGACTGAGGGCTAACATGACTCACAAAGTCAAAAAATGCTCATTACAGCATTTGGGATTTTGAATTTTCAGATTTTGGATGCTGAAAAGACTGGCTTCTATAAGGATATTTTACATACTATCTTTATAGATAAACTAAAAAATGCAAATTTAGCTGGGATTCTTACACCACAACTATTGTAGTATAAAATTTACTACAGGAATAACTTTAGAACAACTAACCTATTACTTTTTTTAAAAAATGAAATATTCTATCAATCTTTTTCTGATTTAATTCTTTATTAAGTTAAAATTTATGTAACATAAAACTAATCATTTTACAGTATACCGTTCAGTGGCACTTATAAATTCACAATATTTTGCCACCACCTCCTCTATCATGTTTCAAATCACCCCAGTAGAAAACTCTGTACCCATTAAGTACTCATTCATGCTCCAACCTCTCTTTCCCTGGTCCCCCAAAAATAACAATCTGCTTTCTGTTTCTGTGGATTTACCTATTCTGGATATTTTTATATACATAAAATCATGCAATATGTTACCTGCATTTAGCATTATGCTTTTGAGATTCATTCACCTTGTAGCATGTATCAGTACTTCTACTCTTTCATGCCTGAATAATATTTCATCTTCTAGACATAAAATATTGTGTTTATTCATACATTGGTGGACATTTTGGTTGTTTCTACCTTTTGTCTTCTTGTCCATCTTATCTTGCAAATAGTCCTCATCACATTTTCCCCAGGTACTATATAATGTATAGTGTATAAAATTAGACAATATAGAAAATCAATGGATGACACATATTGAAACTGAAACTAGGCTAAGTTATATAGTTGGATAGTCAAACCTACTCGCGACAAAAACAAAGATCATCAAACAAACAAAAATGCATTGTACTTACACAGCAATGGTAATGTTTGTTTAAACCATACAATCGTACAAACACACACACACACACACACAGCTTCTGGGAAGAAGGCCAACAATTTGGTTAGCCTTCTAGAAAGTGCTACTAGGAATTGAGGGGGATGCCATTCCTGTGGCATGAGAGAGTAACATTTGCACCCCTGAAAAGGCTTCCTGAGCCAAATGCTTCCAATAAAGACCAGGTTTCATTTAGAACTAGGAAGCTATCTGCTGGCCATTGATCTACTCAGCTACACAGTGGCGAGCACATTCATCATCTTCTTTGGTGATCCCTAATCAACAAGTTACTGATCCCTCTGAGTCTGGAAGTTACTGCAGGGATTGCACCAGGCAGTCACTGCAAAATGGCTTCTTTAGCAGTAGCAGACATTAATGAGGGCGCTAGAGTGGAAGAACATGGGAGGGCTGCTTATGTCTGAATGTGAGAAAATCACCAAAATTCTCTGAAACACCTGAATTAGAAAAAGATTGAATGAGAGGAGGAAATGAGATTGTGGGATATGAAGAATAAATCAGAGTAAGTCAAAGAAGCACAACTTGGTACTGTTTATATAACCTCATTTGTAACTACAGAGTTTTGAGTCTTGGAGGGATTAGATTATAAGGTTACACTCCTATTTTGTGAATATGTACAAATAATATTATGACGAATAAAAAATTCGTTTAAATGCATCATTGAATTCACAGTATTTTTTTTTCTATTTGCAGATACTAAGCACAACAGCTTATAAGGATTATCTTTTTTTTTTCCTGTTAACAAGCGTCCTTCACATTTTAAAAGACTAAGAATCGGAGCACTAATCCTGCTCTTTGCTCAGCCCCATCTGGTACTTTTCTCTGGACTTTCTCGATATCCACAGGTAAGGCTGAGTTTCCCTCCTGTTCTGCCCAACATCAAAACTCTTCAAGGAGATTCCAGAGTTCCAGCAACAGGTGCTTTACCAGATTTACCCAACTTTTAAGATAGTTCTCACTTGCAAATAGTTCCAATTAGATTCAATCCCTGCTTTCTATTTACCTTGTCCAGGACTAAGTCCTTCCCGTGAAGAAGTGTACTTCACATTTACGTTAATGAAAACCTATCAGCACTAATTTTTTTTCACAGAAGACAAACTTTACACATATCCAGTTGCCTTTTCGATTTCCCTAAAAGTGACATGAAGAACTCTTCTAAAAATATTCTGTTTTTCTAGAAGCTGCAGAGACTAATTTTACCCAAATTTGCCATTGATATCTCTCTTTCTCTCTGTCTCTATATATAGAAAAAGAAATATGTGTATATATATATATATACACACACACATAGATGTGTATATATGCATATCTATATATATACACATAGATGTACATCTATGCATATCTATCTATCTATATATATATTTAGAGAGAGAGAGAGAGATGGAGTGTACACTGTCTTATAGTGCTCATGCCTGTGATTGAAGCTACTTGGAAGGCTGAGATGGGAGAATCACAGATCACTGCAGCCCCGACCTCTCTGGGCTCAGGTGATCCTCCCATCTCAGCTTCTAAGTAGCTGGAACCACAGACATGAGCCACCGCACTCAGCTAATTTTTTATTTTGTGTAGAGACAGGGTTTTGCCATGTTGCCCAGGCTGTAAAATCCTATATAAATTTTAGGAGAAATTTTGGATATAGGTTTGTGTTCCAGGCATAGATATATCCCTGAGAGTTCCTAAAAAATATACGCCCTGGGAAACTACCTTCAGTTCTCCTAAATCAGCATGTGAGAGAGAAAGTGGTTTCATTCTGTTTTGCTTGCCAGCTGACCAGAAATACAGAATGCCTCCTACTAGACCATTTCCTGCTCCTGTTTTTTTATCCTTGTTCAATAATAAAAGATCATCACTGTTGAAATCTAAAGCTTAAATGAGACTCATGTAAGTAAACATAGTACATTCAGGGCATCGTTTATATAGAAGTTCTTCAGGAGAAATCTATGAAATGCAAAGATATTAGATTTATTGCCTCTGGCTTTAACCCGGAAGGAGACTATCAGCTACACGTTGTGCCCAGATCCTTTATAAAGAGTATCTGTGTTGATCAGATATTATCACTCAATCAATTCAAAATTTATGATCAGATTCCCTTTGTAGTTGATTCTTATCTTGCTGCTTCTCACTGACAGAGAGTATAGAGAAGAGGACCACTGGTGTACAAAGCAGAGCAACTCTGGAAAGATTTTCCCTACATCACCCTGACAGGATCCTAATGGCCACACATTGTTGAAAAGAATAGCACGTCACAAACACCTCATGAATTGCAGGTCTCCCAGATAAAACGAACGTAATGGTAATGGTGTTAGTGACATCACTAAACTTAAACTTTAAAAGCCTGGACCGTTCTATGAAGTGTCTTATTTTCTCACATTCTTCCAGTTACCTACTATATGGTAAATAATCTCACCCAATTTTTCCATAAATCCTTAAATAAAATGGAAGGGAAAAGTGCCAGAAGGGGCTCCTGTCTTCATAAGATACTTCACTTACTTGGTAGTCAGGCATTCCTTTCCTGCAGAAGCTTGTCTTTCTCTCCTCCATCGGTTTCATTTTCAAATGATATGAAATTTAAATTTCAGAAAGGTAAACTCCAAAGATTAAAAAAGGCAAATTTTCATATTATTGGAAGTAATGGTTCATTGTAATTGTAGCTGTCTGCCAGAGTAGCACTGCATCTCAGGGGTCGAAAAGATGAGCTCCATATTCAACCCTATAGCCATGAGAAAACCCCACGAGAGCCACAGGCATCTTCAAATTCCCAGGAGGCTGTTTTCCTTGTCACTTCAGCTAAGGAGTCCTATATCCATGTGAGTTCATTTTTCCATTTGAAGTCTTTACAGCTGTTTCTCTTTCTCTCTCCTTAGACGCTAAAAGATGGAGTGCTTTATGGAGAACCCTACTGGCAATGTGCTAAGTAAGCCCTGAGGAAGGAATTTCTAGGAAGGAGAAATGAGGTAGGTCTTACAAAGACAAGAGTGCTGGTTGTCTTTGTCCCATGTTAGCAAAGCCTCAGAACCCATGAGTGCTGCTGATGGGCTGCAGTACCTGCACTGTAGTTGTGTAAGTATAGGGAGGGTGGGAGGAAGTTTTCTGTCCAGTTCGGGGTCCATCACAGAATGATGGCTTCCAGGTGCCTCTGCACTGTTAAGTGATATACTCCAATTATGTCTGCACTGCAGACAGCAAGGTAGGGGGTCAGGTGAGACTTATCACTATTCCCAAACAGACAAACCACAATAGCAACAACAACAAAATCACACTCACAATTTGTTGAAGAAGTTTACATAGCAGAAATTAAAATATGAAACAATCTCTAACCTCCATTCTATTCTCGAAAGGGTAAAAATTACCTTTCAAAGGGCTAAGTAACTTCTCCTTTAAATGAATCATAAAACTTTCTTATGTTCTTTGAAAATTCTCTATTTAACCCATCTGTGACCTTCTCAGAGGAGACATAGCACAGAATACATGTTATTTTACCTGGAACCTCACAGCAAAGGACATTATCTAAAGCAAAAGCTGAAGACATGATGAAGCACCTAAATAAACCTTTAAATGTGTGCCCATTCACTCATGGCTCCTCTAATATTGCAAAATTTTTGAAGTATTTTTCTCACCGAGTTTTAATAATTCCATCTCAAAAGACGTTTTACATTATACTCTGGTCAAATTTGTGAAAATCCAAGTGCACAGGCTTGCAATGAAGTTATCCCTTTATTATATAATGCAATATTTTATGAAGACTAATGCATGCACACACATACACACATGCACACACATGAAACCATGCCTTCCCAAGTACACTTATTGATTTATATTTATTCTTTCTTTACAAACATAACAACTGCATAAAAATTCCCTAGGGCCATGTCCTTCAAAGGCTTAGGAAGAAAGTTCTTCTGTTGTCTATGATATAATTGGTATTGTTTTACATCTGTTATTAAAATGCAAAAAGGGTAGTTTTACACACTTGAGCTACCACTGAGCATGGCCACTTTGCATGTGTCTCTTATTTTCTATCTGTTCTAACGATATTCACAGGAAAACATACCTAAACTACAAATACTCATTATCAGAGGGACTGATAAAGGACTGCTCTGAAACTATCTTGTTTTGAAGGTAAATCATGTGAAGAATGTTAACACATCCCACTTAGTATTCGAACTCCTATAGAAAAATACCTAATTATAATACCATTGTGTAGTATTATATATATATTTATATATATACTACATATAATACCATTATATCTAAATATAATACTACTATATTGCATTTTAATAATGATGCCAATTATTTACATACTCATTGTGTTACTCAAGCTTGCAAATTTACATAAAAGAACAAATGTCTTGGAAGGGCAGATATAAGCCTGAATTGCCAATATTAAGACAACAAAATGTTTCATTGCTATTACCAGTCTATTTCTCAGGAAGTTTAATATCAAATTCCTTTATCCATACTATGTCCTAAAGTATCTAGCTCATTTACTCTCATGTGGATTTTGAGCTGGTACATTTTTCTTCGTTTCTAAAAAGTTCTGTAGAAAAATTGTGTAAATCCTAAGGGAACTTGGAGGCACAAGCTAAATAATTCTCACTATATTCTGAAACTTTGAGAAATTTTAAAACCTTCTTCTCCTCCCCAAACTGAAATCCTTTATTAGTGTGGATTGCTTTTATAAACGTTTATTGACCAGAACCAGATCCAGGATTCTACCATGGTAGACAAGAAACAGTAGATTTGATTCAGCCATACTATTCTTTCACTCAATAATATCTATATTATTCCTATATCCTACTATATCCTATACATGGTATGTGCTCTTTCCTTGGAGAAAGCATTCTACAGTGGTCATGGTATAGTGATATAGTATACATGTACAATGATATAGTGGTCATAATATAATATCATGGTGCTATATTATATTCTAAGATTTACTAAAAATAGTAATATGTATATGGATTCCATATAACTCTAAGACGGCATTACTATAAGTGAACTATTCTAGAAGTACTCAAAAGAATGTTTTATTGCATCTATAACATGCTCATAGAAATCAAAACTGCTGAAAGTTCTATCCACTTATATGAGAAAAAGATATACTTTATATTATTTTTTGTTATAATCTACTCCGTGAGTACAAAATATTTATTGTATTAGTAGAAGTGAAAGAAGTGAACAGAATGAGATGTTAGTCATTCATCCATAATGACTTCATGGAGTCATTATGAGTGTAATGTATTCCCATTAAAATGAATAGGTTAATTAATATCATTGAGCCTTTTTATGGGAATTAGGTTTGGAAACTAATCTGAGCCACTTGACTTGAAAATGGATAGTATGTAATGCTACTAGGTTTATCAATAAGAAAACTTATTAAAAATTTGCTTTTGCTTATTGTTTTATCCCCTAATTATCTCATTTTTACATTAAAGATGCTGTATTGGAACTAAATTTTCATATTTTTAGTTACAAATTTTAGATAGTATTCATTTTATTCTCATATTCAGATTTTTCTCTCTTTAATTTGTAATAAAGTTAATTTTCTTTATTGGAACATCAGGGAAGTAAGCATAGTTAATAAAATCATAACAAGTATGAAGAATACTATTTCTTTTTAAAATAAATGTTATTAGATATATAATATGCCTTCAGTACCACTAAAATTATGCTAAATGCCACTTTTTCTTAGAAAAATTTATAAAATACTTCAGGATTCACAATATCTGAAAAACATTATTATTAATATTTTATTATGAATACATCAAAAGTCAAATACAACTTGATGAACTAGAATAATAGTGATGATAAATCTATGGAGAAGCCAAAATCCAGGGTAAAATAAAACAGATCACAATATTGTGCAAAGTGATTTAAATATAAGTTTATTAAACTATTACTCCGTACTTAGGAATACATTAATCACACAACAGAGTTTTATATGTAATGGTGGGTTTTTGATGCTATTATTAAAGTGATTGTCCACTATGGCAATATGTTAGAATTTGGGGGTGAATGCACTGGAATGGTGAGATTTTGCCTTAACAAAGACTGAGTTCCCTATGAGATCCCCCAAAAAGGAATTGATCATTTTATCTTTGACTGGATTAGAACCCAGTTCACAGTGTTCTAAAAAACTTAGTGTGGGCCGGGTGCAGTGGCTCACGCCTGTAATCCCAGCACTTTGGGAGGCTGAAGCGGGTGGATCATGAGGTCAAGAGATCGAGGCGAACCTGGCCAACACGGTGAAACCCCGTCTCTACTAAAAATACAAAAATTAGCTGGGCATGGTGGCGCACGCCCGCAGTCCCAGCTACTCAGGGCAGGAGAATTGCTTGAACCCGGGAGGCAGAGGTTGAAGTGAGCCAAGATCCCGCCACTGCACTCTAGCCTGGCCACAGAGTGAGACTTTGTCTAAAAAAACAAAAACAAAAACAAAACAAAACAAAAAACTTAGTGTGAACACTGAGCTTGATGAGGCCAAATCCAGCCCAACCTTAGCCAGATGCTCAGGCTTCCCAAATGAGTAAGACTGTGAACGAAAGAAAAGGGAGCATGAGAACATGAAGACTAGCTTGAACTTGAATTAATAAAAGTAGAAAAGACGCTAAACAAACAGTCGGCAAATGGTGAGTGCCTGGCCCTAGTTCCCAGAAAGAAAAGAAGAAGGAATAAAGGCAGGAGGGAGCTAGGGAGAGACAGAGGAAGGAGGGAGGGAGGGAGGGAGGGAAATGTTAACATCAGGTAAGAGAGTAGAAGTGAAGGAGCTAAAAACGGAGGGCGATTAAAACAAAATACCACGCATTATAAAATTTAAGTTTTAATTATTATAGAGAAGAAACTAGGTTTTTTTTTACCATTCTGATTAGAAATGGACATATAACATTTAATCTCCCAGTAAATGGAAGATAGTATTTTTTAGCAGCTCAAGAGTAACTTTATGATACCATTTGTGTAAACTGATATTCTCAAAGAATAGTTTAATATGGCGAGAATGGATTAACTTGAGGAAACAAATGGTCTTACTGGTACTTCTATTTATGGTTTGATCTTTTGATAATCATAGAAGGTTAAAGATAGAGGATTTTCACAATTTATCTAGTTCAACTCCCTGCTTAATGCTCATATAATTTATTCACTCTTAGCCACATAGATGATGAATTGAAAACTACTCTGATTCCAATCTACTGTTGTTTAACACATTCTTTCACCTCAATGATTTTTCTTTAAGTTAAACGTATTAATCAACATCTTGAAAACTTTGGGCAACTTTTACAGATAATTCTTGTTTACCATTTATCCAAGATCAAAAGGAGTGTCTTTCTTTCTTTGATAATTACAAACTACAAATAAAAATGGTATATTTTAAAACTCATTTGGAACATTCCAAACCAATTCTTGTAATGAAAGCTCAGTTTTTGTTTACAAACATAAAATTTCAAATAAAACACTAATTTTCAACAGAGTTTTAAGAAAAATATATTTTTATTACACTGAAGTTTTCAAGAGTATAAACTGCTAACCATTATATTTTACCAGATACATAATGTTAGTCTCCATTACATGTGATTGGCACAATCATGTACTATAATAAAATCTGTCAGTGTGGCATTTTTTTTTTTAATTTGACAGTTTTCTAAAAAATCTTGCTCTGGAAACCAATTAAAACTTGATATTTTCCACTCTATTGTATCTCTTTATAGAATTTTGGTTAACAGGGAACTCCCTGATAATTTCTTTCTAGCAATAGTAAATTGACAGCACAATGTAATTAAATAACCTAAAAACAATCCTTTCAAAAAACCACTCCCTATCTGCTATTAGCCAATGCTTGTGCTAATGTGACAGACATGTCATTTTGGGACAGGCATTTTAAGTCCACTGAATCAGCATTTCACTTAGTTGTGGGATCACTTCTTTCAAAGATTCAATATGAGGAAAAAATGCTGCACTACTGGAAATGGCATACAGACAAGTGTCATAATGCTTGACAATAACTATTTTTTAAAACTGGTATTGTCAATAAGCTTATGTTTAGAAATTCCAAAACTAAAGTTAAAATCAAAACAGAAAGAGATGTTTGGGAAAGAATGGCAAAGAAGCAATCACCAATTATCTTGGCAAATTATAATTTAAAAGAGGGCTATTAAGTTTCGATATCAGTAGAATCAATGTGATTCAAATCACTCTCTTTACAGTAATTAATTTTTGTTCTTTAATATTGATGCCTCCTCAAAGTGTTTTAAAACATAAATTAATATCTAATGATATTTGGCTTAATTTTTTTGAGAATACAGATATCTCTACTTTCTCCTGAAATATAAATTTAATTAAGAACATTAATCCATTAAGAGGGTTGAAAAATGTCTAACAATGCTCAGGAAGATGTATGTTTGTTTTTTTCTTTTCTACTGAAAACACATAGTCTCACTCTACGTGTTGTTTCTTAGCTATAAAATAATAGGGCTTGGCTATTTGGTCTTAGACTGTGACATAATATCTCTCATACAGATTCAACGATCTGCTTCTAACACCAGAAGTTAAAGCAAGAATCTTTCCCTAGAAATTTATATTGTAAGATTTGATTGCCTAATAGGATGCTATTATAAAAGATGCCAATTAAAAAATATTGGAACTACCAACAAAGAACTATTTTTTATTTGTTAAAAAAAAGATTCATTGAGTAACCACCATGTGCAGTACACTGGACTCAAAACAATGAATGACATACTATCCAAGACTATATAGAACTCAAGCTCCACACGGAATTTTCCATAGTTTTTGCTTTCAGTTTTTATTGAATATTTGCTGTGGCTTCCACTTGTTTGGCCATAATCAAGTGGATGCATATATGAAAAACAATTAATTGGTGAAGCAGCATTTCAATCAAACTATATTCATTATATAATTTCCCTGTTAAAATGAAGTTTATGAAATATTGAGAAAGCCTGATTTAAAGAAATAAGATTATTCAGACTACTTAGAAAAAATGCATTTTAAAAATTGCGCCAGTAATTACTTTTGTAATACAGTAAAACAACTTCTTGTAAAATATACTATCATGTCCTCAAATTGATTTAATTCTGGGTAATACCAAAAGGTAAAAGAAAACTCCAAGTTTTTATAAAATTGTCTTAAAAGTAGATTGATTGTTCTGATGAGGTTGTTTGTGAATAATGTTTAAAAGTTTTTTTTATAAAAGAAGCCAGACTATAAAATGATTAGGAGCAACTAAGCTTAGAATTTATATCAAAATATATAACTGAAAAACTATCTAACCATCTTTTATAACAAATAGACCATTGTGCCGGGAAGAACAGAATAGACTCTTCCCAATTTCAGATAATTGTTTTATACAAATTCTCTATATACATTTATTAGTTTGAGGTTTCATTTATATACGTTGTTACTCTACACATTGTCACAAATATCCATTGAATACCTACTATGTTACCGACACTGTTATAGAAACCAGATGTGGTAGTGAGGACATAAATTCACTATTATCATGAAGCATTCATTCTACACTGTAAAAAAGAGTAGGCAAAAAGTTGGGGTCAAAAATTTCAATAATCACTGGTAAAATTTGATGTTTTGGGAATTTCAAATAAACTGTCATTTTTTAAAGTGTCCTATGTTTTTCACTGTCCAAGTTACAAGTATACTCATTAGAAAAGCCTGGGGGTGCTGCCTGACATGCAATTTGAGAGTACAATATTTTGAGGAAAAGATCCGGTATGAAAAGGCACAGAAGCAGATGCAAGTGAAGGAGCTCATTAAGATCCATTTGTAATTGAAGACTAAAAGTCAAAAGAGTATGAGTAAATGATAGAATATAATTATCAAGGATTGTAATGAATCAAAAGGGAAAATGCATCTAAACATACTAGACAATAAATTCAATTTATATATATAGGCCTAACACATAAGAATCAGTCACCAAAACACTGGATAAAAATAAATATACATATTTCAGAATGTGATTTATAAATATTGTATATATGCATTTACAACAGTTTTTAAAATATCTATATGTTTTAATAATAACTGCAGTAGGTACTTGTTAATCCTATTTAATATCAACAGGCAGGCATTATCATACCTCACACAAGCAGGAATATTTTATAGATGAGCCAGATCACCCCCTCTTCATCTCAACTTTACCCTCTTGACTATAAATGCCTATTTCCCAGCAGAAACAGAGGTGTTTACTTTGTCAAATAATAATATTAGTCAAATCCACATGAAGTTTTGTTCCTGGAACACAGTTGTGTCCATAATACAGATGTGGATTACCTATTAATAATAATTTCATAATTCCTGGCTTATTTTCCCTTTTAATTTAGATATTCTTGTTACATACAAGTAGATGCAAACTGTCATTACCTATAAATTTTTCTAGAACATTCAGGATCCATTTTGCTTCAGAGAAATGTCCCTGATCATTGGCAGCACATAATTTTTAAGAAAACCATGTCTGTTGTAGTCAGACTGAAAAACTCTCAGTATCTGGGAAGTGGTCACTTCTAGGAACTGCCACAGACATGATAGGCTGGCCTTCCAGAGAGCTATTGCAAGGTCTTTTTCCTATTTGGGTACTATAGAGACAACACCAAGGGTGAACAGAGAGAATAGATTACAAAGCAGCTAGAAAGAATAATAATAATACTAGAAAGCATTTTAGGGGCATTTATACATATGCCAGGTCCTGTTTTAAGTACTTTATGTATAAAAATTTACTTAATCTTCACAACAACCCTACAATGTAGATGCTGTTACTATCCCTATTTTATAGGGGCCAAAACTGAAATACAGTGAGATGAAGTAGCTTCTTCCAGACTGTCCAGAAAGAGGGCTAGGAAATAAATTTTTAAAAAGTAAAACAAAGCACATTACCTGGAGATCTATCATAATGGAAAGGTAATTAAACTAAGGGTTCACAGAGGGTTATAGATTATAATGCTACATGCTTGAAAGACTGTGATGTTTAATTTTAGTTGTCAACTTGAGTGGATTAAGACATACCTAGAGATATGGCAAAGCATTACTTCTGAGTGTGTCTGCTAGGGTGTTTCCAGAGGAGATTGGTGAGGGAGTTGCACTGAATAGGGAAGATCCACCTTCAACGTGAGCAGGCACCATTCAATTGGCTGGAGGCCCAGTAGAACAAAAGAGGAGAGAAAAGTTGAGTTTTTTTTTTTCTTTCTCTTCTGGAGCTGAAAAACTCTTCTGCCCTGGGACATTAGTACTCCAGGCTCTTCTGCCTTGGGACTTTAGATCTTATGCCAGAAGACCTCTGGTTCTCAGGCCCTCAACCTTGGACTGAAAATTACATGATTAGCTTCTCTAGTTTTGAGGCCTCCAGACTGGGATTGAGCTATGCAACCAGCATTGCAGGGTCTTCAGCTTGCAAGATGGCCTGTCATGAGACTTCTGTTCCATAATCTAGTTCCCTAATAAATTCCCCTAATAAGTTACCATCTGTCTATCTATCATTCTCTCTCTCTCTCTCTCTCTCTCTCTCTCTAGCTATCTCCTATTGATTCTATCTCTCTGGAGAACCCTAATACAGACTTCAGCAAGTTTAAAAACAACTTTACTGGAGCTTCATTGGTGAGCAAATATAAAGCTAATTTCAAATGAGTAAAACATAAATAAAAAAAATTAACTACCATTACTAAGCACCAACTATTTCCTAAGCACTGTCTAAAATAATGGGCTTGTAAAGATTTAAAAAAATTCACATCATTGAAGAGTGTAAAATCCAGTGGGAAAGAGGTATATTAAAAAGCAGTTGTAACTCGACCTGATAAGCCTATGATGGACGGCTATAAGAAGCATGAAGAGAGCATAGAAAAAAATGAACCAATATGTTTTTCCCACAAAGGAAAGACATTCAGAGCCAGAAGCTGAAGAATGAACAAGACTGCAAGTGAGTAATGGTGGAAGGCATTCCAAGCAGAAAGAACATTATGAGAAAGGGCAATGGAGAGTGAGAAAGCATACTGAAAGAATTAGAAATATTTCAGTATCACTCAAGTTTTACCCTACAATAGAGAACTTGTAGATGATGCTGCTGGACAGGAAGCAAAATGCAAAGCAGTTTAAAAGTTACAGAGGCACATGAACGAATTTTGTACCTGACAGTCTGGAGGCAGAAAATAATGAGCCCATATTATTTAATATAAAAACTATAATCACTGTCTTCTTTGATTCAACCTGGCTTTATCAAATGGCAGATAAAGCCAAAAAGTGAAAGATTCTAATTGGAATCTGTTAGCAAATAAACAACTGAGTGGATAAAAATTGATGACATAGGTTTAGTGTGTAGAGAAGTCTCTGAAATAAGTAAACGTGTATAGCTGGAATTCTGGCAGAAATTTAATCTGGAGATGCTAAAAGAGATATATCCCAAGTTGGAGTGGACATTTAAAAGTCATATATTTATTTTATCAGAAATATATATGTAAATATAGTTTACTGTGGCTCAAATTACAAAAATTTGCAAGACAGTAGCATAGTGTATGCAGTGCATAGATAAGTGATAAAAGTAATAAGCTGGATTCAGTCCATAAAAAACTATTTAACCAATTCATCAATATTTATACATTATTCAGTATATCAGCAAATATTTACCATGTACCATATTCAACAGCATATTCAAAGTACTGAATATTAAAAAGTGTATGCCATACATTGCCCTGCTACATCAGAAAGGCATATAAAGTCTGTCTGTTATTATAATAAAACATATGAATAACAAATATTAAATAAATTAAATTAAAGGCAAACTCAAACTATAAAAACTGTCATAAGACTCAAAGTTGTTTGAAATTTAAGCCAGCAAGTGACCATTTTATTTGGCAGATGATTATTAAAAATGCTGGAAATTACTGAGAAATATAATATTTCACTACGTATTCAAACATTCAAGATGGGCACAATTTTGACAAAGTGATATGATCAACATAGACATATGTAAAATCAGGTTGGAGATTGATCAAGTGAATTGATGTTAATGATTAAAAGTTAAATTGAAATTAAGAATCTGAATGTAATACCATTTAAGGTAATGTATTATTATATATTCATTTCAATGCAACATTTTATTGTTGTATTTTATTATTCTATTTTTTTGGCCTTTCTTACTTGGAAATTCAATGAACATAATACCCATTGACTGTCTTCTATATCTATCATTTTTTCTCTACTCTTTTAAATAATATGTTTATTAAGTTTTCTTGATTCTATCGTCTGTGTCTGTTACTGGCTTTATGTAAGGTCTGTTCTCTTTTGTGCTCATTGTACTTTAGTCTTCATTTTTCAAATGATTTTGTCTCTTTCTTCTGTTTATTTCCTGAATTCTGCATGTTTTTGTTACATCCTATGGTTTGGCCATATTGTCTCAGAAATTGTGCATATGTTCTTTCTGGTCATCTTTCATAAAAGTGATTGCTTCTTTCATTTATTTTTTAATTCATGTTGGAATGTTTACTTTGTGGCATTATCTTTCTGGTAAGTTTAATAACCTGTAACAAAATTGTACTATTTTTATCTTGTCATCTGTAATATTTTTGTATGAATGTGGTATATTTTTATTTTGTGGTTATCTGAATGGCTGCATTTTGCTAATCAACTCTTTGTAAGCATTTGCTCTGGAAGGGATGAGTGGGCCAGGGTGCTTCCCAGACTTTTCTGCTCATGAACTCCCTCTTGTGTTGCTGCTGTTGCTAATGATTGTTGCCATGTCTTCTGCACTTTTCCTACCCAAACTTGGTTCAAAGGTTTTTAATAACAGATCTGAGCTTCAAGTTTCTTCACAAGCTGTTGGCTGGAATGAGACACAGTCTGGACTTTATGGCAATTCAATTAATATTTACAAGAGACATTTTGCTTTTACCTTCTGAGTTTCCATTTCTGGATCACACTGATCTTTCCATATTGTCTCTCAGTTTGCTTACCTGACATTCAAGACTTGTCCATTCTTAGCCTTCATCAACAGCCTTTAGGCTGTATTAAAAAAGTGCAGCATTTTATACTATATAATCATATTCGCTTTTATCACTACTGTCTGTACTAGGTGTGAGAGTTCCATTCCTTAAGGTAATGAACTATTCCTAGGGATTTCTGAGATCTTCTAAAATTATGCCTCTCTCTCCAGATTTATTGCATCTTGAAGTAATCACATGATTTGATTTGGGAGTTTTCTTAGTCCTCTAATTTTGCTGAAAATATGCCTGTTGGTGCTTTTATAGTTGTTGCTCTTGTCACTCCATCTACCTACTTAAAAACAACTTTTAAGCATAAATTCCTCAGCTTACTATTATAATTGTTCTTCAGATACTATACCCTTCAGATACTAGTCTATTCCTGTGAATGGTCTTTATGTTTTGATGAAAATTTTTGACTTTTTCAAGAAAATAACTGGCACCTTCAAACATTTGAATGTGGCTTTTTGTGTATATGAAACAGCCTTCTCCTCTGTCCATTTGTAAAACTCGTTCATCAACCATGTTAAGTTACACTTCCTCATGGAGCTTTTTAAAATTTTACTTCATCAGTTGTAAGCTGTTTTCTAAACCCTCCTAACAATTTGGGTGTTTTCCTTTGTTTTTTGTTTTTACCATTTGATGGCTTGTTCCTACTAATTTCTATTCTGTTTTTGTGTGACTATGTGTGTGGGGGTAGATTGTACACTTTCATCTTATCCTCCTTGTTGAATATCTGTTCTTTGAGGGTATGTATTCATTTCTTTTACTAATATTTGTGTCACCTGGAGGATATTTAACATATATATATATTTCTAAATTGTTGAATACAAACTAATTACAATATTTTTGAGTGATGGCTATATATACAACTGAATATGAGTTACAGGGGATGCAAGAGAAATATAAATATCAAAGTAAGTCTTAAAGAACTTATACTATATTTGAAGAAATAAGATTAAACTCACAAAATTGTTGTGACTATTAATGAAATTAGAATAGAAAGGAGAGACTTTGAATGAGTTATGTGGAATAATGAGCAAATTTGAAAAATTCTATGCTTTTTTCATAAACAAAATACTAAACACTCAACATTTATCCTGGATAAAAATATTTCACTTGGTGATATCTGAAAACACTATGTGCTTTAATAAAGTCTAACTGCCCTTATATATTTCCTTTTTCTTTTAAAAATATGATATATCTTTACAAAAAATATATCACATATAAATATAAAAATATTACAATTATATGGGGCTGTAGGATAAGACAGCAGAGGTAGACTGAATAACATTTATATGTTACAACAATAGATTCAAGTCTTCTTACAGTATTTGCCATATTATTGGACATTTTTGAAGCACTATTTTGAAAGACTGTCAGGAAAATTAACGTCCTTAATGCAATTCACCTGAATGTTTGATAGCAAAATGTCATGAGAGAGTCAAGCTTCAGTGTATCTCAAAGCTAAAATATCATTCCGAAGGGAAAGCTGTGGTGTCAGGTGAGTGGTTAATTGGATGTCTACTTTCCTCCATGGATTCTTTATGATGGGAAGGAACGACTACCACTGAGTGAAATGTGGACAGCTCCAAAGGTACAATAAAATAAAATGAATCATTTAAAGTTTCAAATTATTTAGGTATTAGAGCTAAAATAAAGTATAAAGTCTTACCATGAACAACTCTATGATTGTTCAATTAAAGATGCAAGAGAGCTATCATTACAAAATTCATCTCTGAAATGCAAGTTATCATTCAGTTGAAAGTGAACAAACTTATAGGTAGACATCATGGACTCAGAACTTGCTTCACATAAATCCCCCTACAATCTTGTATCATCCATGAAATTTATGAGAGGGTGCTATTAAAAGAGACGATGACATCTTGTACTACATATTCTTACATTTTCTTTTATCACTACCACCTGTACTAAAATACGCATGCAAATTCCATTCTCAAGAAGAGCTACTACTAGTTGGTTTAGAAAATTTCCTTGATACAGCAAAAGTCTGAAATGTGTTGAATCTCATTTGATGGGTCTGCTGATGAGGGATAACAACATGACTTGTTTCTCAAGATAATCTAGATGTAGCAGATACATATATTTTTAATTTTTAAAAAAGTTCATGATTTAATGTTCTCTATTTTCTAGGCTGGGTGCAGTGGCTCACACCTGTAATCCCAGTACTTTGGGATGCTGAAGCAGGTGGATCACCTCAGGTCAGGAGTTTGAGACCAGCCTGCCCAACGTGGTGAAACTGTCTCTACTAAAAATACAAAAATTAGTGGAGTGTGGTAGTGGGCGCCTATGATCCCAGCTACTCAGGAGGCTGAGGCAGGAGAATAGCTTGAACCCAGAAGGTGAAGTTTGCAGTGAGCCGAGATCACGCCACTGCACTCCAGCCTGGGCAACAGAGTGAGACTCTGTCTCAAAAATAAAATAAAATAAAATAAAGTTCTTTATTTTGTTTCCATCTCTCCAGTGTCTCTCTTCCTTTCTTCCTTGACAATTGAAAGTCTATTTTAATTATTAGCTTATAATTATTAAAGTAATAGAAATATAATAAAATGGAAAAGGTATGGGAATAGATATTCTGGTTTCAGTTCCTTTGTCTACTACCTAGGTGACCCTGGACCCTTTCGAGGAATACCAGAACACTACTTGTGCAACCCAAGAAAAGGAATGTCCTTAACCAAGATACTATGAAACATTGATGTTATAAAATAAACACTGTTATTTTAAATCAATTACTTAAAATAAAAATGTTAAAAATTAAAAATCAAATATAAGATGAAACCAATAGGCAAATATTAATCAGAAAATACACATAATATTTGAGGAAAATATTAACAATAGATGACATACAAGATTTATTTTTTCAAAGACACAGTACGCTTTTACAAATTGATAAGTGAATGTACAGCAGCACAAAAGAAAAAAGTTATAAAAATACGCAACTCAGCAATGCCCAAAAGAGCAAGTTCAGAAGACAAATAGGCATATAAAATTATGCTTAAATTCAGTAATAGGAAATTCAAATTTTTAAATTGAAAATGACTGATAACTTTTCACCAGACTGGAAACATTTAAAAATAACATTTTTTTGAGGTAATATAGAAAAATGTACTGTCATATATGTTTATAAAAGTGTAATTTGCTACATTTTTAGACAAAATATGCCAATATTTATGAAAACAAAAAATACATTTATCCTTCAAACCATTTTGAGTACCTATCATAGAAAAATAAAACTGCATATATTTATTTCTTCTCTGACATGTTTGAAGTAACAGGGACCGATTTAATTCCATTTTTTTCCTCACCACTAGACAAACATCCAAAAAAGGAAAAAAGCAGAAAAAAAAACATGAAACAATCATCTTCAAGGCATTGGACCTAACAAAATAAAGGATAGTGTTTTCTGAGAGAATAGAAAAAAAAAACAGGATTAAATTAATGATCCCCCCACCCCCCGAAGCTTACTGCCTTGAGAAAATAACCAGGCCATATTGAAAGAAGCTAGAATCCAGAGACAGTCCTTAAATCAAGATGATAAAGCTGAGTATCCATGGATGCCATGGCAGCTAGAATTTGCAGACAGAATATTAGAGAGGAGAGAGCTGCACAGAGAAGCCCAGGTATCTGTGGACAATCTTTTTCTACTACTCAGCAGAATAATCAGAACTTTAGCAGAATCTGATGAGCACACACATTAAGGAAACTTCCTAAGGAAGGAACCACCGGAAAGCATTAGAGGGACAGTAGTTTACCCTCATAGGGCATGGAATGGAACCTGGTCAATTCAGCAAAACTGGACAAATTCAAAATTCCTAGAGCAAGGGGTGCAGTACCTAGAAGAGTCCCGCTCATCTAATAACTCTTAAAAAGCAAGACATGAAAGTATCAAACTATTTTTCAGTTGCATACTGTGTGCCATAAGAAAGGTCAAGAATATTTATAGAGATAGCCAGCACACAACAAGATAAAATCATATTGTCTGGCATCAATAAAATATTACCAGATATGGAAAGAGGCATGATAACCCATATGTGGAGAAAAATCAATCAATCAAAACTAACCATGAACTGATACAGATGTTGAAATGAGCAGGTAAGGACCCTAAAACAGTT